>NC_000005.10:25459335-25762366 GCF_000001405.40 Homo sapiens
AACACTTTTCTGGTGTTTATATTATATATATTTAATATAATATATTAAACATATATTTAATATATAAATATATTAAAATACATATTTAATATTTAAATGTTTTAAAATATTAAATATATATTATCTTAATTATATATATTATATATAATTAATTAAATATATACTAATTAATTAACTAAATTAAATATATATTATATTTAATATATATAATATATAGATTATATTTAATATATTAATAAATATTTAATATATTATTATATATTAAATATATTATATAATTAAATAATTATATAATATATTTAATATATAATATTTAATATGTATTATATATTATATTATATTAATATAAATAAATAAATAATATAAATAAATAAATACTGTAAATAAATAAAATAAAATAAATAATATATTGTATATCAATTATATAAATAATAATCAAATAATATATAATAATTATATTAAATATGATTATTATATATTAAATATAAATATATTAAATATAAATAATATTCAATATATTAATAAATATATTAAAAATATATTAATATATTTAATATATTAAATATAGATTATATTTAATATATTAAATATAGATTATATTTAATATATTAAATATAGATTATATTTAATATATTAAATATAGATTGTATTTAATATATTATAATATATTATATATATTATATAATATATAATATAATATATATAATATAATAATATAATTAAGTTATAGAATACTTGACTATGGCTTAAACAAATGAAAGATACTTATCTATTTGTTTGAATAACAAGAATGGTACATAGTTTAGCTACCTTGGTTTTAAATTAAAGGCAATAGGAATTTATTAAAACATTTTAGAATACAAACAAATTATTAAAAATTTAAACATTTTTACTATGATAAAGGGCAGGGATATTACATTTTTTTTACACAGCTCATTCCTTGGCTTGTTGAGGGTAGTTATAAATTTTGTTCCTTCAATCATATTATGTTTTTTTCTTCAGATTTGTTACAATTTTGTATGTATAATTTTCAAGTGAGTTCTACTACAATATGCCTAAGTATAGTTATGTTTTAATTATTACACATCCTGCGTAGATATGTACAAATTGTACAAATTTGTTTTGTGATAGTTTCCAGCATTTTCTTTAATAGTAAGCTATTGTCTTTTAGATATCAGTTATTTCACATTATTTCTTAGCTTTCCTTTTTAGAAATTCACTTACATATATGTTAGATTTTTACCTGATTGATAGGGTTTGGCTGTGTCCCCACCCAAATCTCAACTAGAATTATGTCTCCCTGAATTCCCATGTGTTGTGGGGGAGACCCAGGGGGAGGTAGTTGAATCATGGGGGCCGGTCTTTCCTGTGCTATTCTCTTGATAGTGAATACCTTTCATGAGATCTGATGGATTTATAAGGGGTTTCCACTTTTGCTTCTTTCTCATTTTTCTCTTGCTGCTGCCATGTAAGAAGTGCCTGTCACCTCCCACCATGATTCTGAGGTCTCCCCAGCCATGTGGAACTGGAAGTCCAATTAAACCTCTTGTTCCCAGTTTCAGGTATGTCTTTATCTGCAGTGTGAAAATGGACTAATACAGTAAATTGGTAGCAGTAGAGTGGGGTGTTGCTGAAAAGATACCTGAAAATGTGGAAGCAACTTCGAAACTGGGTGACGGGCAGAGGCTGGAACAGTTTGGAGTGCCCAGAAGAAGACAGGAAAGTGTGGAAAAGTTTGGAACCTCCTAGAGACCTTTTGAATGGATCTGACAAAAATGCTGATGGTGATATGAGCAATAAGGTCCAAACTGAGGTGGTCTCAGATGGAGATGAGGAACTTGTTGGGAAGTAGAGCAAAGGTGACTCTTGTTATGTTTTAGCAAAGAGACTGGTGGCATTTTGCCCCTACCCTAGAGATTTGTGGAACTTTGAACTTGAGAGAGATGATTTAGGGTATCTCACACAAGAAATTTCTAAGCAGCAAAGCATTGAAAATGTGACTTTGAGTGTTGTTGAAAGCATTCCATTTAAAAAAGGAAACAGAGCATAACAATTCAGAAAATTTGCAGCCTGACAATGCAGTAGAAAAGAAAAACCCATTTTCTGAGGAGAAATTCAAGCCAGCTGCAGAAATTTGCATAAGTAGCAAGGAGCCTAATGTTAATCCCCAACACCATGGGGAAAATGTCTCCAGGCCGTGTCAGAGACCTTCATGGCAGCCCCTCCCATCACAGGCCCAGAGGCCCAGGAGGAAAAAGGGGTTTCATGGGCTGGGCCCAGGGTCCCCATGTTGTGGGCAGCCTGGGGACTTGGTGCCCTGTGTCCCATTTGCTCCAGCCATGGCTGAAAAGGGCCAACATAGAGCTCAGGCTATGGCTTCAGAGGGTGGAGGCCCCAAGCCTTGGCAGCTTCCACATGGTGCTGAGCCTGCAGGTGCACAGAAGTCAAGAATTGAGGTTTGGGAACCTCCATCTAGATTTCAGAAGATGTATGGAAATGCCTGGATGCCCAGGCAAAAGTTGGCATCAGGGTCACAGCCCTTATGGAAAACTTCTGCCAGGGCACTGTGGAAGCAAATTGTGGGGTCAGAGCCCACACACAGAGTCCCTAATGGGGCACTGCCTAGTAGAGCTGTGAGAAGAGGGTCACCTTCCTCCAAACCCCAGAATGGTAGACCCTCCAACAGCTTGCACCGTGAGCCTGGAAAAGTCACAGACACTCAGTGCCAGCCCATGAAGGCAGCCAGGAAAGAGGTTGTACCCTGCAAAGCCACAGGGTTGGTGGAGCTGCCCAAGACCATGGGAAGCAAACTCTTTCATCAGTGTGACCTGGATGTGAGACCTGGAGTCAAAGGAGATCATTTTGGAGCTTTAAAATTTGAAGCTCTGCTGGATTTCAGACTTATGTGGGCCCTGTCACCCCTTTGTTTTGGCCAATTTATCCTATTTGAAATGGCTGTATTTACCCAATACCTGTACCTCCCTTGTATCTGGGAAGTAACTAGCTTGCTTTTGATTTTACAGGCTCATAGGTGGAAGGGACTTGCCTTGTCTCAGATAAGACTTCGGACTGTGGACTTTTGAGTTAATGCAGAAATGAGTTAAGACTTTGGGGGACTGTTGGAAAAGCATGATTGGTTTTGAAATGTGAGACATGAGATTAGGAGGGGCCAGGGGCAGAATGATATGGTTTGGCTGTTTTCCCACCCAAATCTCAACTTGAATTGTATCTCCCAGAATTCCCACATGTTGTGGGAGGGACCCAGGAGGAGGTAAATGAATCATGGGGCCCAGTCTTTCCTGTGCTATACTCGTGATAGTGAATACATCTCACGAGATCTAATGGGTTTATCAGGGGCTTCTGCTTTTGCTTCTTTCACCTCACACCATGATTCTGAGGCCTCCCCAGCCATGTGGAACTGGAAGTCAATTAAACCTCTTGTTGTTCCCAGTTTTGGGTATGCCTTTATCGGCAGTGTGAAAACAGACTGATACACTGATTCTCATATGATTTTTATGTTATTTTATGTATTTTATGTCTATCTCCTTTAGTGTTAAATGTTTATTTTTTTCAGATCTACTTTTCTCTTTAATTGCTCCATTGATACATTTTTTGTAGGTTCACTTTCTCTTGAGTTTAAAAAAAAATTCTTAGACTTTTAATTTATTTTATACATTAATTGTAGCTCTTTTTATGTTTGTGTGTGTTAACTCTAATATCTGTCATTGTGGGTGATTTCTACTGTCTCCTTTTTTTCTCTTAGTTTGCAGTCAAAGTGTCTTTTATATGCCTGAATATTGAATATTTTAAGATTTTTTAAAATAATTTTTATTGTTTTGGTTGAGTGACAAATGTAGTATGTGAAAAATCACAGAGATCACATAAGGGTGTAGGTTGTTCTCTTCCTCTGGAGAGAGTCCACTTTTGTTCAGGAGGGTGGTTCTGCTGACAGCAATAGAATGATTGGAAGCTGTAATTGGATCACTTGGCTATTGTTTCTGGTTCTTTCACTGTCAAAAGTATTTAATTTCGGTATTTTAAGTGAAACCTTTATGTCTTATTTGGAGCCTCTCTTCCTTTGTGATCCCTGAACCACCGTTTTGTCTGGTACAGCATGTAAATTTATCTAACGTCCCCTTTGGCTTCTCAGTTTCTTACCGATGAATTTTAGAATTACCAGATGCCTCATGAGGAAAAGTGGGGCCAGAGGCTGTGTTTACTTCCTTGTGCCTCCCCTTTTCCTCCTGATCTCGTCCCACACATTCTTCCTGCCTTGGTAAATCTGTGATGCCTTCAAACAGTTTTGGGTTTTGGTTTTTGCTTTTGAATAGACTGCCTAATTAGGTATAGGTTTTCAGTAGGAAATGTGGTCTAGAATAAGCTGGTCTACCATTATTACAAGTCACAATACCACTAACAAGCTTTAGAGGGCAAGGTAATAGAATTAGGAGTGTTAAAAAATATTCATGACACGTATTAAATAATAGGAAATCACACTTTTTGTAGGGGAATTATTGTGATAGATATAAGGACTATTGCATCGGCAATGAGGTTTTGAACTAGAGAAGAGAAACTGGGCTGAACTTAGAATAAAACAAAGTGGGAGTTTATAGCCAAAAAGCAGGATCAGGGTCAGTGAGTGAAAAAACTCTTAAGAGAAAATATCAGAGGTAAGGGGAATTTCTGGTTAAAATGACCTAACAGGAATCTGGCCAAAGGCAGGCCAGGATGAGTAGCTATTATCTGGGGAATGGTGTAGGATAATAATATGGATAGCTATGTTGAACTATAGGTCAATAAAACCTCTTTCCTTTGTATAAATTACCCAGTCTTGAGTATTTCCTTATAGCAATGTGAAAACAGAGAAATACAGAAAATTTGTACCAGCAGAGTGGAGCACTGCTATAAAGATACCTAAATATGTGGAAGCAACTTTGGAACTGGGTAATGGGCAGAGGTCAGAACAGTTTGGAAGGGTCAGAAGAAGATAGAAAGATTTGGGAAAATTTGGGACTTCTTAGACACTTGTTGAATGTTTTTGACCATAATGCTGATAGTAATATGGGCAATCAAGCCCAGGCTGACGTGGTCTTATTTGGAGATGAGGAACTTCTTGGGAACTGGAGCAAAGATCACCCTTGCTGTGCTTTAGTGAAGAGACTGGAGGCATTTTGTCCCTGACATAGAGATCTGTGGAACTTTGACCTTGAGAGAGATTATTTAGGGTATCTGACAGAAGAAATTTCTAAGCAGCAAAGCATGCAAAATGTGGCCTGGCTTTTTCTGAAAGCTTACCGTCATATGCATTCACAAAGAGATGATTTGAAATTGAAACTTATGTTTAAAAGGGAAGCAGAGCATAAAAATTTGGAGAATTTGCAGCCTGACCATGTGGTAGAAAAGAAAAACTCACTTTCTGGGGAGAAATTCAAGCCTGTTGCAAAAATTTGCATAAATAATGAGGAACCAAATTTTAATATCCAAGACAATGGGGAAAATGTCTCCAGGGCATCTGAGATATCTTTGCAGCAGCCCCTGCCATCACAGGCCGGGAGGCCAAGGAGGGAAAGGTGGTTTCCTGGGCCTGGCCCAAGGCCCCACTGTTCTGTGCAGCCTCAGGACATGGTGCCCTGCATCCCAGCCACTCTGGCTCCAGTCGTAGCTAAATGGGGCCAACTTAAAGCTCAGGCCATGGATTCTGAGGTGTCAAGACCCAAGTCTTGGTGGCTTCTACATGGTGCTGTGCCTGCAGGTGTACAGAAGAGTTGAGCCTTGGGGGCCTCCATCTTGATTTCAGAGGATGTATGGAAATGCCTGAATGTCCAGTAAGAAGTCTGTTGAAGGGGGCATAGCCCTCATCGAGAACCTCTGCTAGGGCAATCAGAGGTAGAATGTAGCATTGGAGCCCCCACACAGAGTCCCCCATGAGGCACTCCCTAGTGGAGCTGTGAGAAAAGGACCACCATGCTCTAGACCCCAGAATGGCAGCTGACAGCTTGCACTGTGCTCCTGGAAAAAACACAGGCACTCTGTCTCATGTGCTTTAACCAGAAGAGCCACAGCGGTGAAGCTGCCCAGGGCCGTGGGAGCTGTCCAAGGCCAAGGGAGCCCACCCTTGCATCAGTGTGCCCTAGATGTGAGACATGGAGTCAAAGGAGATTATTTTGGAGCTTTAAGATTTAATAACTGCCCGACTGATTTTCAGACTTGCATGGGGCCCCGGACCTCTTTGATTTGGCCAATCTCTCCTACTCAGAATAGGAACATTTACCCAATGCCTGTACTCCCATTGTATCTTGGAAGTAACTAACTTGTTTTTGATTTTACAAGCTCAGAGGTGGAAGGGACTAGCCTTGTCTCAGATTAGATTTTAAATAATTTTAACTAATATATTCTATTTTTTCTACAGATGAATAATTACTGAGTATTTTGATAACAACACTTAAGAATACATTTGTCTCTTTTTTGTATTAAAATATACTTCTTATTTAAATAATTTGTATTTTTAAAATATTAACTCCCACGATATCACTGTAATGTTGGCAGTTGTAATATCTCATAATATTAATAAAACATAACTTTATACTCTTCCCTGCAAGGTAAAAATAGATTTAAAATAACGGGCTTATGTAATTCATGTGACAGAGTTTTGGAAGAACTTAGGTATCTTTATTTTCTAGAAAACTATTAAGATAGCTAGAATTCATTACTTTTATTCTTCTGCATAACATGACACTGTAAGCAATTAGCAATAAATTTATATATTTGTCGATAAATACTGAACACTTTAAAATTATATTTTAATATAAATACGATTTCATTTGAATAATATGAGTTCATTCACAGGTAGATTAGTATAATGTGGCTTTCAATGTGAAATATATTTTTAAAATATAACATTTTTACTTCATTGACTGTGAATATACACATATGAGATCTGCCTATTTAATGCTATATGTATGAGAAAATATAAGCAACACTATCAGGACGTTTAAAGTTATCTTTCCCAGCTTATTCTCAAAATGATAAATAATTGCACATAAACAGTAAGAGGATTTCTAATGGACAAAATGCAGTTACTCTTTAAATGCAAATATTTTTTTAAAAGTATTCACAAATATCATGCAATCATTAGAAGTCCAAATATAAATAAATTCTAGAGTTTAAACTCAATTACGAATTTCTTAAAAGTGGTGAGAGAAGAAATGAGAGATCATGGGAAAACTGCATTTCTTGGCGTGCCTCACAATTTATGTGTAAGATTTGATGCAGTGTTTCATTCCACATATTTTCACTCTCTCAAGGTTGTTTTAACTAAAAGTCAGCTTTAAATTTTACTTATTAGTGGCCATTTCTCAGTACTATAATGGTAATTGTATTTTTTATCATGTAACACCGAGTGAGTGATATGAAAAACAGAAAGTTTTACCTAAATTATTGCTAATTATTTTTCAACCAGTCAGAAGGCTACTGTTGGCTGGGCAAACTGTTTCATATCTGTAATCCCAGTATTTTGGGAGGTTAAGGCAGGAGGATTTCTTGAGCAGAGGGGGTCAAGGCTGCAGTGGGCCAAGATCACCCTACGGCACTCCAGCCTAGGTGACAGAGTGAGCCCCATATCAAAAAAAATATAAATAAACAAATGGCCATTGTTGGTTAGGAGTATAGATTGTGGCACAGTTAGAAAAAATTCTGCAGCCGGGCGTGGTGGCTCACACCTGTAATCCCGGCACTTTGGGAGGCCGAGGAGGGCGAATCACGAGGTCAGGAGATCGAGGGCATCCTGGCTAACACAGTGAAACCCCGTCTCTACTAAAAATACAAAAAATTAGCCATGTGTGGTGGCGGGCGCCTGTAGTCCCAGCTACTCGGAAGGCTGAAGTAGGAGAATGGCGTGAACCCGGGAGGCAGAGCTTGCAGTGAGCCCAGATCGTGCCACTGCACTCTAGCCTGGGCGACAGAGCGAGACTCCGTCTCAAAAAAAAAAAAAGAAAAAAATTGTGATTTCTCAAAACAAAATACATGAACTTAACTCATTAGATAATATACTCACAGGGAAGACAACATAAAAGGCCAAACTAATTTCATATTATTACAGAAGCAAGCTATAACTTCTTGCAATACAGAGAGGTCCTCGAGGTTAGTGTCCTTGAAAATAGAAACTTCAAAAGGAGTACCTACTGAATCTCCTTATTTCCTAGACACTGAGAAGACACTAGATTGATTTCCCTGGAAGCCTGGGGCATCAAAAAAAATTACATTGAAATTCAAGTATTTGAATTTGGGTAAATGGATATTGTCAGAGCAGATGTTCTTTAGAAACAAGTTTGTGGTTTCCTTTGATCAAATGTTCATGAACATAAGAATTCCATGTGATTTATTAAAATGACCTTGGGGAAGTTACCTAAATTTACTGAGTCAGTTTTCTTTTATATAACATGGATAAAATATTAGCTATATAAATATACTAGGAGATAAAAATGAGATACATATTTTTAAATGCCTTTGCAATTTAAGTCCAATTTAGACCAGATAACCAGATGAGCATGCAATAACTCAACCTTATAGTAAACATCAAATGTTTACTTGGACAATAACTAATTTTGTCAATCAGAAAACGAACAAATTTCAGAAACTTGACTTACACAAACACACACACACATAAGGACACACGCACGCTCACATATTTAATTTTTGTTCTGGTGTTATGTATTCAGTTAAAAAGGGAGATAGCTCCTTGTGCATGAAGCTAGCATCTCTCCCTCTGCTCCTTATTCCAGAATTCTTGTTACATATATGCCCTGAATTTAATGAGCTAAGGGTTTAAGAAAAAAGAAATATTGAGGTAAAATCTGATACTATGCATAATACAGTTGGATGCATCTACTTATTCTTTTCTTTCTTTTTTTTTTTTGAGACGGAGTCTCTCTCTGTCGCCCAGGCTGGAGTGCAGTGGCACAATCTCGGCTCACTGCAAGCTCCACCTCCCGGGTTCACGCCATTCTCCTGCCTCAGCCTCCCAAGTAGCTGGGACTACAGGCGCCCACCACCACGCCCGGCTATTTTTTGTATTTTTAGTAGAGACGGGGTTTCACGGCGTTAGTCAGGATGGGCTCGATCTCCTGACCTCGTGATCCGCCTGCCTCGGCCTCCCAAAGTGCTGGGATTACAGGCGTGAGCCACCACGCCCGGCCCATCTACTTATTATTTTCATTTATTTCTACTGTTTAGTCAAGAAATTGTTATGTGTAAGTTAGGGAAATTCCTCAGACAACCTTAACCCAAAGGGAAATTTATTATCATGTGTATCCTTTAAATGCAGGAGCTAGTAGTCGGCATGACTGAGACATAGTGTCTCTAACAAAGTTGTGAATTTCTAAAACTTTATGTCTGGGTAATTTTTTCTCTAAGAATAAAATTAATTAATTTGTTTTTCTGTGTGTGTTTGTTTGCCTGCTTATTTATTTTCAGTCTTGAGTGAGCTAGGGAACATGGTTTCAGATATCCCAAACTTTCCACATTCTCATGACTTAAGATTTCAGAAGGTGCCCCCAGTGTTATGCCAAATTATGGAAAACACCAATGCACTTGTTTTGTGATGCATGGCCATCCCTCAACCAATAATTTTGTAATTATATGTATTGTCCCACTGGGTCCCATGCTAATTACTATAGGCATTGGGATGTGTGAATACACCGGATGAATGCCTCCTCTCAAGACATGGATTGGGACATACGTAATTTCCCAAATGTCAGACAAAAAAAGGTTTTTATACCACAAGAAAATTCAAGCTAATGCAAGTCAACAAAAACATTAAATGTCTTATCTGTATGTACTTCTTGGCTATGAAGCGTACACATCCGCCATTTTCCTAGACATATAATTTTAAAAGGAAACTGCTACATACAACCAGGAGAAGTAACTGAAAAGCAGTATTGCTTTGGCACTGACCAATCAGAAAGGATCCCATCTAGAAACAATATTTTGTCATAAGGCATATTGACTAAATATCACTAGACAAATAAATCTCAAACAATCCTTTGCTTGCTGAAAAACAAACAAACTGAGTGTTATCAGGGTGTGTCTTTCTGCCTTGGTTAATTTCAGCAACCAATGAATAAAAGACAATTAAAACCACTACCAAAATGATGGCTATGCAGTGTTAGGACAAAAAAAATGGGATACTATAATAGAATTTCATATTTTAAAAATTACAAGTTAAGCAGTTATATGAGATTTTATTTCAAATTATATACCATATCATAATGGACAAACACTGCAAGCACAACTTGATGTTGTAGCAAATTGATTTCATTGATCAGACTATTTGACTGCTCAGAGTTTTGTTCTCAGAAACTCTCTTTCAATTGTTCTATCCAATTGTCATGTGTTTTTCATATCTCCCATTTGTGCCTCCTGATCCATTCCACATTTGTCACTCTGCTTTCTGCTGTACTAAGTTCAAGGTTACTACATTATCTCTTGCAGTGCCAATATACCTCTTGCAGGTTGAATTGTTATCCCTCAAAAATCTATGCTATGAGTCCTAATCCCCAGTACCTATACATGTGATGTTACTTTTGAAATAGTTTCTTTGTCAATGTAATCAACTTAAGATGAGATCATAATCAGACTAAGGTGAGCTCTTAATCAAATGACTGTTGTCCCTATAAGGAGAAAGAAATTTGGAGACACACAGAGATACAGAGGAGACACAGATGGGAAAATGCTAAGTTAGAATGGAGACAGAGATAGGAATAATGTAACTATAAGTCAGTGAACATTATGGATTTTGAGAACCATTATATGCCAGGAAGGAGTCATTGATTGATTCTCCAATAGGGTATTAATAAAGAACCAACTCTACTGATGTCTTGATTTTGCCATCAAGCCTCCAGAACTGTGAGACAATAAATTCCTATTCTTGTATACCATCCAGTGGTGGTAAATTTTTATGGTGGTCCTGGGAAACTAATACAGCAAGCAACCTTTGGAAATAGTCCTTGGATTACTTCCACTGAGAAAGAGGCAAAGTATCAGGTTACTTTCAGGAAGAGCCCAGCATCGAAGTCACATAATATCCTGAGACTTGTCAAAGGCTATTGAGAGTCTTGCAGTCATATGCTAGGTGACTGTTTACTGCGGAATAATATAATTAATATAACAATCATAATTTATATCAAGGGTCCCCAGCCCTCAGGACACAGTCTAGTACAATCTATGGCATGTCAGGAGATGGGTTGCACAGCAGGAGGTACGCTACGAGAGAGCATTACCATCTGAGCTCTGCCTCATCAGGTCAGCAGTGGCATCAGATTCTCATAAAAGCACAAACTCTATTGTTAACTGCATGTGCAAGGGATCTAGGTCATGCATACTCCTTGTAAGAACCTAATGCCTAATTTTCTGCCCCATGGAAAAAATCGTCTTCCATGAAACCGGTAATTTGTGCCAAAAATATTGAGGACTGCTGATTTAGATTATAAGTAACAAAAATTGAGGATATTATATAATTACTTTGAGATTTGCTGATCTTCAGAAATTCAAAATGCCATAATTGGCCACCAGTCATAGTAGTTTTAAATGAAGTATTAGCCCAAGTGTCTTCTAACGATGGGTCCAATGTGACTATTGAACCATTGTATAATTATTTCTTCCAACTCAAAACAGGTAGCCAGGATAGATACACTTAGCAATTGAAAGAATCTGCACACTGGTGCCTAACCTATGGAATGATAGCACAGACAGGAATCATAGCACATAGATAGGACTAGTTAGAAGCTTCTGGAAATGTCCACACTTTACAAAGAAGGTGAGCCATACCAGTATTACATCCTAGACTGAACTGTAGAGATTACTGTTACCATAAAAGACTTGAGAGATTCAGAGCTGATATTCGCTATCTTATCTCCATTTACACCTTTTAATCATCACTAAACCCAGATGAATTATAAAGAATTACCATGATACCATTCGTAGGTGGTGATGCTAATCATGGCTTATGCTCCAGGTGTGGCGTCTTTATTGAAATAATGAAAATCTTGGCATCTATTATGCAACTTATTTCTGTAAGTTAGAAAAGAATGATAATTTAAGTTAGGCTAAGATCATGCTTGGTGTCCTGCTGCAGAGCTACGTCAATTTCCTTTCTCTGTCATAGTAGAGTTGAGAAGTGAGTTGATTATCTAAGACATCTGAATTCCAAGGGTCAATGGGTGTCATTTTTAAGTAAGAGGCTTCCTGTACCATCTGCAATTTTGAAAAATGCAAAAGTCTTGATTTGTCTCCTTGGATTTTGGAGGAAACGTATATCACAATTGGCTATGCTGCTTAACCCATTTATCAGGTAACCCATAAGGCTGCCAATGTTGAGTGGGTCTTGGAGCAAAAGACCTCTCTGCATCAGGTTCAAGCTGTGGTACAAGCTGTCCTGCTTTGTGATCCATCAAATAAAAGAGTATTAGAAGTATCAGCGGCACTGATAGATTCTGTATAGAGTCTTGGGTGAGTCCCATTTAGAGAATCACAGCATGGATTGTAGTGTTTTGGGAGAATGCCAAGTTTTTGCCTGAAAATGAGCACTGGTAAAAGCTAAACTCCTGACTAGGGGACACCAGGTGACTATGAATCTCTAATCAGTCCTCATAAGCATAGTGTATAAGATAAATTAACCTGTAAAATTACATGTGTGTAGTTGCACTCAAATTTAAGATCGAATATCTATAATTCACATTCTACTCTAAGCATGACTTTGAAACTGTAGGTCCTGAGAGTACATGTCAACTGCATAAGAAGGTGGTTCAGACCCCTGTTATACCTACCTGTTATAACTACTTTGCTACCTTTCTCTCAATTCATACCTAGGGTGTCATGGCGAATTGCCTATGACCTGTGCTTGTTTATAGTTGGATGTGATTTATTTTCCATATACAGCTGATCATGTGTGGCTGCTGCACTACGATGTGACTTAGAGTGCCCTGAATGACTTTAGTGACAGGAAATCCTTCCAATAAGCAGATTCTTAGGTAAAGTTTCTTGTCTACTTTGTGTGGAAGTATAGATGACCTGAAATGTGACTATATACAGGTAGGATTCTAGATAGTAACTATTAAGTTGGCCAGCTTGAGTAGAATTTGGAAAATAAAATAAAATTTAAAAATTAATGTAACAAAGACATCTCTGAGGAAATAAGTATGTTGGTGTTACTCTTTGAGTGGGCACATGTAGAGCGATTTATGACCAATGTATATGCCTGCCAAGAGGCAACTATGGTGAAAGATCATGAGCTCCAATACATAGACTACTCTCCAGGATTTATCTGCATAATTTGGCTGAGTGTAAAACCTGCAAGCACGACAGGCCAATGTTATTATCCTGAAATGGTATCATTACCACGCAGTGACCAACTTTCTGCATAGTGGTAGCTTGATTACATCTTTTCTATTTTGAAAAGAACGGTGTTGCTTTTCTCATAGGAATGGAAACATATTCAGGATATACATTTTCCTTTCCAGGCAGCAGCACTTCTGCCAGCATTACTAGTTATGGAGTTACAATAATCCTCATCTATTGCCATGTTGTACGACTCAATGTTGTTTCTGCTCAGGACACACTTTTCACAGTTTAACAAATGCATAACTTCCACTTCTGACCAAGATGGAACAACAGAACACCCAGATTCATAAAGCAAGTCCTTAGAGACCTACAAAGAGACTTAGACTCCCAGACAATAATAATACTGTCAGACTCCCACTGTCAACGTTAGACAGATCAACGAAAAAGAAAGTTAACAAGGATATCCAGGACTTGAACTCAGCTTTGCACCAAGAGGATCTAATAGACATCTACAGAACTCTCTACCCCAAATAAATATAATATACATTCTTCTCAGTACAACATCTCACTTATTCCAAAATTGACCACATAGTTGGAAATAAAGCACTTCTCAGCAAATGTAAAAGAACAGAAATTATAACAAACTGTCTCTCAGACCACGGTGCAATCAAATTAGAAATCAGGATTAAGAAACTCACACAAAACCACACAGCTAATGGAAACTGAACAACCTGCTCCTGAATGACTACTGGGTAAATAACGAAATGAAGGCAGAAATAAAGATGTTCTTTGAAACCAACGAGAACAAAGACAAGACATACCAGAATCTCTGGGACACATTTAAAGCAGTGTGTAGAGGGAAATTTATAGCACTAAATGCCCACAAGAGAAAGCAGGAAAGTTCTAAAATCGACACCCTAACATCACAATTAAAAGAACTAGAGAAGCAAGAGCAAACACATTCAAAAGCTAGCAGAAGGCAAGAAATAACTAAGATTAGAGCAGAACTGAAGGAGATAGAGACACAAAAAACCCTTCAAAATATCAATGGATCTAGGAGCTGGTTTTTTGAAAAGTTCAAAAAATAGATAAACCACTAACAAGACTAATAAAGAAGAAAAGAGAGAAGAATCAAATAGATGCAATAAAAAATGATAAAGGGGATATCACCACAGATCCCACAGAAATGCAAACTGCCATCAGAGAATACTATAAACACCTCTATGCAAATAAACTAAAAAATGTAGAAGAAATGGATAAATTCCTGGACACATACAACCTCCCAAGAAGTTGAATCAGGAAGAAGTTGAACCCCTGAATACACCAATAACAGGCTCTGAAATTGAGGCAATAATTAGTAGCCTACCAAACAAAAACAGTCCAGGACCAGATGGATTCACAGCCGAATTCTACCAGAGGTACAAAGAGGAGCTGGTACCATTCCTTCTGAGACTATTCCAATCAATAGAAAAAGAGGGAATCCTCCCTAACTCATTTTATGAGGCCAGCATCATCCTGATACCAAAGCCTGGCAGAGGCACAACAAAAAAACAGAATTTTAGACCAATATCCCTGATGAACACTGATGCAAAAATCCTCAATAAAATACTGGCAAACGAATCCAGCAGCACATCAAAAAGCTTATCCACCATGATGAAGTTGGCTTCATCCCAGGGATGCAAGGCTGGTTCAACGTATGCAAATCAATAAACGTAATCTATCATATAAGCAGAACCAAAGACAAAAACCACATGATTATCTCAATAGATGCAGAAAAGGCCTTTGACAAAATTCCACAACCCTTCATGCTAAAAATTCTCAATAAATTAGGTATTGATGGGACATATCTCAAAATAATAAGAGCTATTTATGACAAACCCACAACCAATATCATTCTAAATGGGCAAAAACTGGAAGCATTCCCTTTGAAAACTGGCACAAGACAGGGATGCTCTCTCTCACCACTCCTATTCAACAGAGTATTGGAAGTTCTGGCCAGGGCAATCAGACAAGAGAAGAAATAAAGGGTATTCAATTAATAAAAGAGGAAGTCAAATTGTACCTGTTTGCAGATGACATGATTGTATATTTAGAAAACCCCATCGTCTTAGCCCAAAATCTCCTTAAGCTGATAAGCAACTTCAGCCAAATGTCAGGATACAAAATCAATGTGCAAAAATCACAAGCATTACTATACACCAATAACAGACAAACAGAGAGCCAAATCATGAGTGAGCTCCCATTCACAATTGCTACAAAGAGAATAAAATACCTAGGAATCCAACTTACAAGGGATGTGAAGGACCTCTTCAAGGAGAACTACAAACCACTGCTCAACGAAATAAAAGAGGACATAAACAAATGGAAGAACATTCCATGCTTATGGATAGGAAGAATCAGTATCGTGAAAATGGCCATACTGCCCAAGGTAATTTACAGATTCAATGTTATCTCCATCAAGCTACCAATGACTTTCTTCTCAGAACTGGAAAAAACTACTTAAAGTTCATATGGAACCAAAAATAGCCCGCATCACCAAGACAATCCTAAGCCAAAAGAACAGAGGTGGAGGCATCACGCTACCTGACTTCAAACTACACTACAAGGCTACAGTAACCAAAACAGCATGGTACTGGTACCAAAACACAGATATAGACCAACGAAACAGAACAGAGCCCTCAGAAATAATACCACACATCTACAACCATCTGATCTTTGACAAACCTGACAAAAACAAGAAATGGGGAAAGGATTCCCTATTTAATAAATGGTGTTGGGAAAACTGGCTAGCCATATGTAGAAAGCTGAAACTGGATCCCTTCCTTACACCTTGTACAAAAATTAATTCAAGATGGATTAAAGACTTAAATGTCAGACCTCAAACCATAAAAACTCTAGAAGAAAACATAGGCAATAACATTCAGGACATAGGCATGGGCAAGGACTTCATGACTAAAACACGAAAAGCAATGGAAACAAAAGCCAAAATTGACAAATAGGATCTAATTAAACTAAAGAGCTTCTGCATAGCAAAAGAAACTATCATCAGAGTGAACAGGCAACCTACAGAATGGGAGAAAAATTTTGCAATCTATCCATCTGACAAAGGGCTAATATCCAGAATCTACAAAGAACTTAAACAAATTTACAAGAAAAAAACAATCCCATCAAAAAGTGAGCGAAGGATATGAACAGACACTTCTCAAAAGAAGACATTTATGCAGCTAACAGACACATGAAAAAATGCTCATCATCACCGGCCATCAGGGAAATGCAAATCAAAATCACAATGAGGTACCATCTCACACCAGTTAGAATGGTGATCATTAAAAAGTCAGGAAACAACAGGTGCTGGAGAGGATGTGGAGAAATAGGAATGCTTTTACACTGTTGGTGGGACTACAAACTAGTTCAACCATTGTGGAAAACAGTGTGGTGATTCCTCAAGGATCTAGAACTAGAAATACCATTTGACCCAGCCATCTCATTCCTGGGTATATAACCAAAGGATTATAAATCATGCTACTATAATGACAAATGCACACGTATGTTTATTGCAGTACTATTCACAATAGCAAAGACTTGGAACCAACCCAAATGTCCATCAATGATAGGCTGGATTGAGAAAATGTTGCACATATACACCATATAATACTATGCAGCCATAAAAAAGGATGAGTTCATGTCCTTTGCAGGGACACGGATGAAGCTGGAAGCCATCATTCTGAGCAAACTATCGCAGGGACAGAAAACCAAGCACCGTATGTTCTCACTCATAGGTGGGAATTGAACAATGAGAACACTTGGACACGGGGTGGGGAACATCACACACTGGGGCCTGCTGTGGGGTAGGGGGAGGAGGGAGGGATTGTATTAGAAGAAATATCTAATGTAATTGATGAGTTAATGGGTGCAGCACACCAACATGGAACATGTATACATATGTAACAAACCTGCACGTTGTGCACATGTTCCCTAGAACTTAAAGTACAATAATAATAATAAAAGTATACTGTTGATTGAATCACTAATTATAACCAAAATAATTAATTTAATGTATGTGTGCATTTTGTATCATTTTTGGTTAGATTTCTTTGAGCAGCTACTTTGGCATTGTGTAGAGCCAATTAGAAATGAAACATATACAAATGATTCCCTGTATTTTTGGAAGAAATTCATCATGTCAAAATTTATTTAAATATTTTGATAGGTACATATGTAAAATATTAAATTATTATATAACTACATATTTTAATAATTTCTATCAGTTAATGATTTTATTAACCCCTTTTTTCATTTTGAGAGACATTGAAGCTACTGTTTTATTTTCATTGTAAATCTTAACATGCATTCATCTCTTAAAGACTGCAGGTTGCTTAGCAAAGGAAGCTTTGTGCTGTCAGTACTTCATCATAGAATAAATGATCATGTCTATATACATGTAAATAGTACAAAGACTAATCCTGCCTTGGTGTATCAAAGCATCCCAATTCTGTTTCTAAATGATAAGTGGCATTGTACAGAGAAAGGTATCTAAATCTTCTTAGACATTCTGCATAAATAAGAAATGTTATTTAATTGGAACTAGCTGCATGAAAATGGGGCTTCTGTTTGGAGAGATTAAGGTGTGATTTATCATATTGGTAAGAGTCAGATTCTTGCCAATCCTGATCCACCATGTCAGCTGCCTCTAGTATATTCAGAAATTCTTTCTTCAAAATCAAATAAGCCCATCCACATTGATACTATTTAAGTGAACCCTTGATGCATTTTGAAAATTTGAGCAAAATTACAAATATTTTACATGTGTTTTTCATCTTTTTCATCATTATTTTCTACAATGTGTCTGGACTGTTTTTCAGCAATCAGCAGCTTCATGTTTGGGAATACAATTCTATCCAAAATTTTTTAACATTTCTATTGGAGAAATTCATTGAAACTCCAGTGTTTTTACCTGATTTAGAATGCAGTCTTGTTCCTGAGAGAAAATACAAATGAATCTCAAAACTATAGCCTTCTTGCATTTGATATTTCAGAAAAGCTTCTCAAAAGCCCCAGCTGTCAGGAATTGAGATTTGGACCTGCTTTAAGTCACTAAGTTCAACAAATACACCTGAAGGGGATTATAAACAGCCAGCACATCCCTTGTTATCACTTTGTCTGATGAACACTTTATCTTTGAAACCGTATAAGGACTTAGGTTGGCAAGTGTTGCCCTAAATTGGATTTGACATATTAGATTCTTAAAGAAAAAAATTATCAGCAGCCATAAGGAATATCATATTGACAAGAAACAGAGAAAAGCCTTTAGAAATAAGGTAACTGGAAAAAATATTTTTCAAATTACCTTTGTTTATCTTGCCCCATTAAAAGAAAATTAGCTAGAACATGAAAAGAGAATTAGCAGTAAAAGATAATTAGCTACAATACTACAACCCTTAGTAAAATTCAACATAACTGTAACAGATGAAGTTAAAATATAATATAAATTAACTTAAACATTTGTTTTCCCACAAATCTTGGTAACATCATCATATGGAGTGTTCACATTCCAAGTAATTTTAATCTCACATATATAAGTTGTGTATGCATATTTATTCAGAAATCTGAATCTTTTTAGTAAGTTTTAGAAACTATGATATAGAATTTCTTGTCATATTTCCTAAGAAGCAAATGAAAGTAAATTCATTCATACCGTCTTAATGAAAAATTCATGCTTTCACTTATGTTAGCTTAATTGTAATGATTTAGAATTTTTAGACAAGTCATAAAACCAATGTAGTATGAAGGTTCTTAACTGTTGGAGCTAATGGCGAAGTCAATTTCATTGCAGTGTTTATTGAAGGCAGAGTGATTATATTAGAATCATTTATATGAGGATGCCCATTGCTGGTTGTCTCCAAATTAGAAAATAAAAAAGATAGTCAGTCTCCCGTGATGTTCTTAAAGTTTCAGAGAAAAAAATGAATAAAACATGAACTGCATCTAGCAACGGGATAAAAAGATTAAGATAGCATCGATCACAATTTATATATCACAATATAAAGAGGTTCTGGCTCCATGTCCTTTTTTTCCCTTGAACTCCATTTTAGTTATAAAGACTTTGTTAGAAGTCTTCCTTAATTATAGCTTCCATTTTCAAATTGTTTAAAATTAATGTTTACATTAATAAAGTCATTTTATATACTAATTAAAATGAACAAATTTATGACTAGATATATTCTTACTTACATGAGATAAATATTCAATGTACATTCTTGACATTCCATCAATCTAATTTTAAAAAATTCAATCCAACAGCATAAAAATCACATTGAATAAAAGATTTTTTGAACTCATTTAAAACCCAATGATGGAATCAGGAGAACGATGTATATACTCTCGCATTTATTGCTTTATCTGTAGGCCAGGGAGAATTGGGGAAGGCCAAAACTGCCCTAGGAACTCCATGAACAGGTGAAGTTGGGCAGTAGTAATTATTAACATTATCTTCCCTGTTTAGTAAAAGAAAACAAAACAGGTTTATACTCTTTATGATGATGGTTGTTTAGGTTTGCTCATTAATGATATCTTTGTTCCTCATAGCCACTGCGCATTGGAGTGCAAAATGCTAGTGTAGATGGAATATGGGCTAGCAGTGACGTGTAAAGTATCAGTGGGTAAGGCTTTGTTCAGATACATCCTAATTTAAGCTGTGTGACAAATGCTTTGCATAAGTGCTAGCAACATATTCAAATAATTCTTTGGGAACTAAACATGTACCTCTGACTCAGCAAAGAGGTGTTTTCTTTTTCTATATAGTATCATAGGAATAACAAATTGCAATATATGTGAAAAAACCATATTGAAATATGA
This sequence comes from Homo sapiens, assembly GCF_000001405.40. Classification (NCBI taxonomy): domain Eukaryota; kingdom Metazoa; phylum Chordata; class Mammalia; order Primates; family Hominidae; genus Homo; species Homo sapiens. Next base: position 25,479,526 of record NC_000005.10, read on the forward strand.
AAAATAAATAAAATTACAGAGTTGATTTCCCGAGATGAAACTGTAACATTAATAAAAACTTTAATAACAATTTCTATATTTTTTTACCAATCATTATCACCACATTTTGTGTTCATTATTATATAATAGCTAGTAGTCTTTCTTGAAAAAAAATCATTTTTATAAAGTAATAAACAGAAACAATTTTCAATAACAATTTTGAATGAACATAAAAGCAGATATACGTAATTGTGATATTTAAGCATCTTTTAAATGAGGGAGTCTACAGTGAATTTAATCACATCACATATAGAAAGAGACAACAAAACTATAGTTGCTTTCTAAATGTATAATTACCATATCTGTGTATTATAATGAGAAAATGTTTTATCATTGAGCTAAATACTACGACCACCCTAATAAGCCAACAAAATTAAAAATTTAAACGAAATTCAATGTAAGTGGTTTCTCCATCTTCATGGTAATCGTGAAATGACCAGTTCTCAAAAATGGCATGCAATAAAAACATTTACCACGTTAATTTTAAAGATTTAAATAATTATTTTTCTCATTCATATAATCTCAAACATATAATGTCATTTGTATTTTATGTATCATTTATTTTGCATACAAAATATATAGTGAAAGTACAACAAAGCAGGTCACGGTTATTTTCAGGCAGCCTATGTCATGGTAATCGTGAAATGACCAGTTCTCAAAAATGGCATGCAATAAAAACATTTACCACGTTAATTTTAAAGATTTAAATAATTATTTTTCTCATTCATATAATCTCAAACATATAATGTCATTTGTATTTTATGTATCATTTATTTTGCATACAAAATATATAGTGAAAGTACAACAAAGCAGGTCACGGTTATTTTCAGGCAGCCTATGTTAGACATAGGATGTAAACATGAAGAGATATAATTTACATAAATTCAGAACCTAGATTTGATTTAAATGGTAGCACACTATTCTACTTTTCCTGCAGTTTCTGAAGTTTTCTGGAACATTTTAAGCAGACTCATCTTTTCTATTCAAGGAAGTCGATTTAATTATCTAGTCCTTTAATTCTACCCAGTGATAAATATTACTTTTCAAATTTTATATTAGCAATAAACCACAATAATAAAATTATTGATTAGAAATCCATGTATAATAAAACCATTCATGTATTGACAGGAAATTATGTTCCAGGGATTGTACTAGCTATTTTAGAAAAGTATCAAAGTTAGAGATAAGAACCTAAAGCTTAGCGAGAGTTAATCACTTATTTATGACAACATAGCATACAAGTGGCAGAATCTGAATTGAAACTATGTTTCTAAAATTGGCCTTTTCCAATCATGCCTTACTCCTATATGAATTTTGTTAAAGAAAAGTTCAGTGAAATGCTCTTTCTTTCCATAATATTATTAAAAGTCGATGTAAGTTATTTTTCTTTAGCATAATTGTGCCATGAATATAAGAATTATTTCAGTCATGTTTGGATTCAAGAAATTGAGAACTACTTAAATTTGCCTAATGCTCTATTGGGGATGTATTTACTATTAATTGTGTATACATTTGAAAAATGGCTTCAGGATTATTTTTACTGACTGAATCAGAATGTCATTACTATTATGCATATCTCTATTATTTGATATTTGATATCTAACTGATTAATAGACTATAACTTGAGAATTATAGCATAATGCATTCACAGCTATGTTGTGATCACATTTTAAGAGATCTTCATTTTCATTCCTATTTTGCAAATCATATCTCTTTTAACATTTATTATTTTAGATGTTTTTATTCAAAAAGTAAGATTCAATTCAGAATATTATTTAAATTCAAATGGCCTGTGTGGAAAATAATTTTAGTAACCCCTCTAAGTCTCAATGTATCAAGTAGCAGAGGTATTATGATGGTTAACACTCCATTACTTTCTATAGTTCAAATAATCCCCTTATCAAGTTTATAAAAGCCCTGATGTGTTCCTTCTTTAATCATAACGCTTCTCATCAAACAGAGTAGTTTGCAGCTGCTTAGCTTTCTTGCTCATCTGCTGGGACAAGCATCATTACTGCTAAGAGCTTCCTAAGTCATTCTTCATTTTTCTTAATAACAATGCAGGTTCAGAATTGCAACAATTGTCATTCATTGGGTATCCTCCAGCAATGTAATGAACAAAAGGTGGCTGCTGTCACTTAGCCACTCCATCAGGAATTTGTGTTTATTCTATCCGACAACTACAAAGACTTCTAATTTCAGAGAACAATTTCTTTCTGGTTCATTCTAATCACTAAGGACTCTGGTTCACTTTTGAAAGGAAAGAAAAACTGTGCTTTGAAGAATTTCAAGCCTTCTTCTGAAAATCAAGCTCAGTGTTTTGTTGTAATTTTGTTACAGTTTAAAAATACTCTTTCTACAATGCCTGAATATGTGGATTTCTAAAAAAATACAATATGAAACATTTTGCCTTAGACTCTGTTTATTACATGGCCTCTATAGTATCCTACTGGATAGATCTTATGTATATAAGATTCACAATCTGTTAAAATCCACAATCCTTTTAGCATATTTGTTTATAAAATAACTTTAAATACTAATCTCACTTAAATTTTGATTTAATTATTAAATTATAGTGACTTTCACATACAGGTTTAGAGATAGCTCTAGAAATAGTGTTACATAAGAAACATTTTAAACCCACATTTCTTGTTTTTTATCTAACCACTATACACAGCCACATACACAATTAAAAAAAAAAAAACTAACTAAAAAACCGTAAGTATTTATTTTCCTAACGTATATGGTGAGTTTATGCAATCTTGGTTTGAAAAATATTGGTGTAATACATGAGAATATATTTAAGGCACACAGGTAAACAGTGGTAGTTCACTCCAATGCCATTGTTACTATGCAAGAAACGTTATAGACTGCTCAAATTTAAAAGAATAAAAAAAGAAAGTACAAATAACAGATTTAGGCAAAAAGTGGCACAGAACATAAACAATATTTCCTGCTTGTCGATTGAAGGGCATACTTGACAATATTTTCGTTATAGACACTAAGATCCAAACATATTGTAGTGGTGACCTATTTGGGATCCTCAAGGAACATTAAACATGAGAGCAAAATAAATACACTTTCAGAAAAATAAAAGCTGAGATAATTTATACTTTTAATTTCCATTTTTTTGTTCAGCCTTTTTGGGATTTTATATTTAAAGTATGCATTTTAGGTAACATATTATTCAGTGTTGCTTTCATCCCGAATACTGAATTATTCTTCTTATGTGAAGCATATAAAATAGTCAAACGTACAGAACTTACTTCTTTCCTGACTTACTTTACATTAGTTAAATATTTTTTAGTATTCATTTTGATTTATTCTATTGGCACCATAGCTCAGCTGCCTCATTATTTTGCCCATAGGTGCTCTATGGTTATCAGTATGCATTCTTACCTTATCAAAGACTATTTGGAATTAATGTTGTTACCAGTTTACATTATAAAATTCACTTTATTCTTGACACTTTCCACTTACTACTTCATACTTGCCAACTTACTTCACACCTCATATTTTCCAGATTCCACATCACATCACCTTGTCTACTTTCTATATTAAAAACTTATAACTAAAAACAATACAATCTCATTTGGCATTGCCCATCCTTCTGCTTTTGTGAGATGTCTTTTCCATTATATATGCATATATACTATATATATGTACACATATAATATATATACATATATTATGTAATATATATGTAACATATATGTAACATAAAATATATACATATATACATATATTATATATGTATATATTATGTATGTAATATATACATACATAATATATACATATATAATATATACACATGATATACATACATAAGTGTATATATAAGTATATGGTATATACATATATAGACTATATATACATACATGTATATATAGTATATGTACTATATATGCATATATACTATATATGTGTATATATACATATGTGTATATATACATATGTGTATATATACATCCTGCTTTTGTGAGATGTCTATTTCATTATATATGCATATATACTATATATGTGTATATATACATACATTATACATGTGTATATATATGTATGTCTGTGTATATATACATACATTATATGTGTATATATACATATATTACATATATGTATATATACACAAATAGATATAATATATGTATATATACACATATATAATGTATGTATATATACACATATATGTATATATGTATATATACATATATAATATATTATATTTACACATATATTATATATCATATATTTTACATATTATAATTATGTGTATATATTATATATTTTATATAATATATATACATTATAATATAATAATATGACTACTATGTATCTATATATTATATAATATATGTATATATACATATATAATGGAAAGACATCTCATATATACATATTTAATATATAATTATATATGTATATATAATTATATATAATTATTATAATTATGTACATATAATATAATATATTGTGTATATACATCATATTATAATATATGTATCTATATATTATATAATATATTATATACATATATAATATATGTATATATACACATATATAGTATATATGCATATATAATGGAAAAGACATCTCACAAAAGCAGAAGGATGTATATATACACATATATGTATATACAAACATATATACGTATATATGCATATATAGTCTATATGTATGTATATACTATATACGTATATATACTTATATACTATATACATATGTATATACTTATATATTTATATGTGTATTTGGGATTACATATACATATACATATGTAACTAGGGTTACAGATGCCCGCCACCATGCCCAGCTAATTTTTGTATTTTTAGTAGAGACAGGATCTTGCTATGTTGGCCAGGCTGGTCTCAAACTCCTGACCTCAGGTGATCCACCCCACTCAGCCTCCCAAAACGCTGGGTTTACAGGCGTGAGTCACCGTACCCAGCCCAATAAATGTTTAAAGAAGCATCTGTTTTCATCTTTATTTATATTTCTTCACCCTGAGGTATATCAGTTAGCATTTCTTGGAATGTTTGTTGAGTGATGATAAAATTCCCTCAGGTATTTTCTTATCTGATAATATTTTATTTTGGTCTTAATTTTAACATAGTTAAAAGATCATGTGTTAACATTTTGTTTTTATCTTTCCGCCCCTTAATAATGTTATTCCAGTGTCTTCTGGTCCACACTGTTTCTGACTGGAAGTAATTTTTCAAGTATTTTTCTCCTGTGTTTTGTCCTCCGGTTGCTTTAAATGTTGTCATCTTGACTTTCATTTTCGTCAGTTTGATCATGAAGTGCCTAAATGTGATTTTATTCTTTTGATTTTTATGTTGGAATTTGTTCAGCTCTTTGTATACCTGCATTATTCTTTTCAATCAAATTTGAGAAAATGTTTCTATTACAATTTCCTCAAATATTTTTCCATTCCATTATCTCACTTTCTTCCTCAGTTAGGATTCTAATTACCTACACATTAAAATGCTTAATATAGTCACACAAACCCCTGAGCATATTTTCATTTTTAGTCATTTAAAAAAATATTTTTGTGATTGAAATATTTTTATTAATCTTTCTTCAGGTTCAGTGACTCTCCAATTCTCTTTCTCATTCTGTCATTTCTAGTTTAACCTTAAAGCAATTTCAGTTAATTATTCATCTCAATGAATATAATTTTTTAGATGTTGAATTTCCATTTGTTTCTTTTTTTTTAAAATTATACTTTAAGTTTTGGGGTACATGTGCAGAACGTGCAGGTTTTTTACATAGATATACACGTGCCATGGTGGTTTGCTGCACCCATCAACCAGTCATCTGCATTAGGTATTTCTCCAAATGCTATCCCTCTCCTAGCCCCTCACCAACCAACAGGTCCTGGTGTGTGATGTTCCACTCCCTGTGTCCATGTGTTCTCATTGTTCAACTCTCACTTATGAGTGAGAACATGCAGTGTTTGGTTTTCTGTTTCTGTGTTAGTTTGCTGAGAATGATGTTTTTCAGCTTCATCCATGTCCCTGCAAAGGACATGAACTCATCCTTTTTAATGGCTGCATAGTACTCCACGCTGTGTATGTGCCACATTTTCTTTATCCAGTCTATCATTAATGGGCATTTAGATTGGTTCCAAGTCTTTGCTATAGTAAACAGTGATGCAATAAACATATATGCACATGTGTTTTTATAGTAAAATGATTTATAATCTTTTGGGTATATGCCCAGTAATGAGATTACTGGGTCAAATGGTATTTCTGGTTCTAGATCTTGAGGAATGGCCACACTGTCTTCCACAATGGCTGAACTTCCCACCAACAGTGTAAAAGCATTTACACTCCCACCAACAGTGTAAAAGCGTTCCTATTTCTCCACATCTTCTCCAGCATCTGTTGTTTCCTGACTTTTGAATGATTGCCATTATAACTGGCTTGAGATGGTATCTCATTGTGGTTTTGATTTGCAATTCTCTAATGACCAGTGATGGTGAGCTTTTTTAACATGTTTGTGGGCCACATAGATTTCTTTTTTTGAGAAGTGTCTGTTCACATCCTTCACCCACTTTTTGATGTTTTTTTTTTTTTTTTTTTTTTTTTTTTTTGTAAATTTGTTTAAGTTCCTTGCAGACTCTGGTATTAGCCCTTTGTCAGATGGATAGATTACAAAAATTTTCTCCCATTCTATAGGTTGCCTGCTCACTCTGATGGTAGTTTCTTTTGCTGTGCAGAAGCTCTTTAGTTTAATTAAATCCCATTTGTCAATTTTGGCTTTGGTGCCATTGCTTTTGGTGTTTTAGTCATGACGTCTTTTCCCATGCCTATGTCCTGAGGTATTGCCGAGGTTTTCTTCTAGGGTTTCTATGTTTTTAGGTCTTCTGCTTAAGTCTTTAATTCATCTTGAGTTAATTTTTGTATAAGGTGTAAGGAAGGTGTCCTGTTTCAGTTTTCTACATATGGCTAGCCAGTTTTTGCAACACCATTTATTAAATAGGGAATCCTTTCCCCATTGCTTGTTTTTGTCAGGTTTGTCAAAGATCAGATGGTTGTAGATGTGTGGTATTATTTCTGAGGGCTCTGTTCTGTTCCATTGGTCTATATATCCGTTTTGGTACTAGTACCATGTGTTTTGGTTACTGTAGTCTTGCAGTACAGTTTGAAGTCAGCTAGTGTGATGCCTCCAGATTTATTTATTTATTGATTTTTTTTTTTTTGCTTAGGAATTTCTTGGCTATACGGGCTCTTTTTTAGTTCCATATGAAATTTAAATTAGTTTTTTCTAATCCTGTGAAGAAAGTCAATGGTAGTTTGATGGGGATAGCATTGAATTTATAAATTGCTTTGTGCAGTATGGCCATTTTCACAATATTGATTCTTCCTATCCATGAGCATGGAATGTTTTTCCATTTGTTTGTGTCCTCTCTTATTTCCTGATCTAATGGTTTGTAGTTTTCCTTGAAGAGGTCCTTCACATCCTTTGTAAGTTGTATTCCTAGCTATTTTATTCTCTTTGTAGCAATTGTGAATGGGAGTTCAGTCATGATTTGCCTCTCTGTCTGTTAATGGTGTATAGTAATGCTTGTGATTTTTGCACATTGATATTTTATGCTGAGACTTTGCTGAAGTTGCTTATCAGCTTAAGGAGATTTTGGGCTGAGATGATGGGGTTTTCTAACTATATAATCATATCATCTGCAAACAGACAATTTGACTTCCTCTCTTCCTATTTGAATACCCTTTATTTCTCTTTTACATGTACTTTTAAATTGCTGTCTGAATTATCTATATTTTATTTATATAAATGATTTATTTATTATTGTTTATATTACTGACTTTTAATTTTTGAACACATTTTCTGTAATTATTTGAATCAATTTATAACACCTTTAAATTTGTCTCTTCTAACAGTAATATCTGGCTATTAGGACATCTGTTTCTTGAACTTGGGTCACATTTTCTTGTTTATTTTCAAGTCTAGTAATTATTTTATTGTGCACTTTTGTTTTAGAATAGTTTATAGCTATAGAATAAATATAATACATAATATAATATATAATATATTATAACTGTGATATATAAATATAATAAATATAGAGATTTTTCTGTAACACCCAAGTATTTTTAATTATCAATGTTTTATATTAGTATGGTAAATTTGTCATAATTCATGAACCAATTTTGATTCATTATTTCCTAAAGCCAATATGCAACTCAGATTCTCTTAATTTTCATGTAATGCCCTCTTTCTCTTCCAGGATCCTGTCTATGACACTACTTTCTTTTTAGTAGTTATGCTTCCTTAGGCTCCTCTCGGCTCTGACAGTTGTAGTTAATTTTCTTTATTGTGTAATGGGCATTACATATGATACACTGGAGATAATTAAATATTATAATGTACCTTTTAGAGGTAGGTCATAGTGTTGTTACCAAAACACTAGGCATTTGGTCTAGTTACTGTGGGTTACCACACAGAAAGCCAGTCACTGAGACAAATTAGTATTGTTAGGGAGGAAGGCCTTAATTAGATGCTGCAGCTGAGGAGATGGAAGATAAGTCTTAAGTCCATTTTTCTGACCAAATAAAATTGGGTGTTTACATAGAGGGAAAGAAATGTAACTACATGCAGGTACACAGAAATTAGGGAGGGGTAAGGAAGAGAAGGTGGTCGCTTAGGCAATCATGATGAGTGAGAGGTCTAGTGTCTCATTGTCCAGATGCAGTGATCTGGTAAGTTTCAGTTCCTTGATACTGTCTGGGAGGCCTGATGGTTGATTTCCTGAGGAAGAAACTGAGATAAGGCAAACATAACATTCTCAAGTTTTAAGACTAGGTGAGTCAGTTTCTATGCTTATTCAAAAGAATCCCATAGACATCAATCCTCTGAGACAACTGGGTCAGTTTCAGTCCCCTACTTTATATTTATTAATTTCTTAATAATAGCAAATCTGATAGTTGATCTTTCTGGCTGCTTCATGCTGAGGAGGGGCATTATGGGCAGCTCCATATCATGGGTGGCCAGGTGGCCACCCAGAAATCAAAGGTTAATCTAATACTATAGTTTTCTTTTGAAACACACACACTCTCTCTCTAGTCTCCCACTGCCACCAAAGACAAATCACGGCAAGACCATCCTAGCTGCAAAATAAGCTTCAGTCATGCTATACTTGTCCTGATTACCTACACGAAGTACAAAAAGAATCATTGTCCATATATGCACTCCTAAATTGACTTTGCTGGAACCTGTCACAAGGAACCTCAGACTCAATCTCCAAAGGCCTCTTGATCCCAGCCAAAGACTCATCTGCACCTCCAGTTACCTGCATGAATTGGGAGAATGCTTCTTTTCTGTTGGCCCCCAAACAACTTGAGGTCCCTGGTTCTGTCAGAAAGTGACACCATCAACATACCAGAGGCCAAGAACCCTGCAAAGGAACTGTGTAGACAAAGTAAGAGGCCAGAACTTTTACAGGGTTTTCATTGGCTCTGTAATCAATATCAATTTCTCAAAGCAATGTGTTCATATATGAAAACATGCCATTTCAGTCAAAGTCCTGAGAGAATAACCAGTTTCTTCAACTGTGTCCTTTATCAAAGAAAAAAGATTCTTATTGAACTTATGCAAACAACTACATTATCATGAATTATCAATATTCACAAATAATTTCTGTGCTCTGGAGAACTCAGGCACAGAGAGAGAAATATGTCTTAAATTCTGTTGACAAGAGTATACTCTACTCAGTTGTTGAAGGCTATAAATAGCTCAAAAGAAAAAGTTCTCCAGATTCTGAAAAACAAGACGACAAAAATCAGCAATATGTTAAACAAACAAACAAAAAAGCCAAAAATATATTTCAGTCCTCCATTACCTCAGTCCATGCAATCAACTCCTGCTCTGCTTCATACTGGGCTAGCAATTTTTATGAAAGCATCAGCCTTTTGACCATACTGTAAAAAGTTTGACCATACTGTAAAAATTTTATACAAATTTTATAATTTTTTAAATTAAAGATCAGATTAATGCTCCAAGAGAACCCTCTTATTCCAACACAGAGGTCCAAATGCTGGCCTTCCATCAGTGTGCTATTGACATTAATGTTTAATTTATAGAAAAATCCTGAGCTAATTATATCCCTCAGAATTAGCCCTTAAAATCTTACATGTTCACCTCTTCCATGATAGTCACTGGGCCTAGATGGACTTACTAGTTTTAATTTCTGGCCACATGTCTCACAAAAGCAGTTTATTTTTATTTTCACCTCCTCACGGTCTAAAGACAAGGCTTTGACTAGTGTCAATATTCACAACTTAGCAGAAGTCAATGTCATTTTCAGAACCAGGAGTCAAATCCCTGTAACTAAAGAGCACAAGGATTCGTTAATAGAACATTTATATGGCAGAAAATCCTATCATTCTAGCATGTCACAAATTAAAACACCGTGATATGGTGTCTACTCAGCACTTCAAACCACTTAGTTTGTTGAGTTTACTCCTTGCATATGTCTAATTGCTAGCATTCTAGTGATAGAACTATGACCAAAAGGATACAAAATGTGATCAGTACTGTACCAAACTTATTGAAGTAAAACAACTAACTTTTCTTTGCAACAACCAAAAAATGGTAAATGCAAATATTAGTTCTGGAAATTCAGTCTAAGGATAAATAATCTTTCACTCTAAGTACTATACAACAAAACAAGGACAAAGTAAGAACGGGCTCACAATAATTTCTTTTCAGCTATTTTAAGAGTATTGTCACACATTTTCGAGATTCCTTTTTAGTTACAGTGCTAACAACTTATTAGGTAACTTTAACCACAAGACTCTTCAAACCATTGCAACACTTGTACATATTTTCTTTTCAAGTACACACGTGAAAACCCAATAGTGATAAAACAACTACAAAGTTTCACTGTTTTTTTCTACTACTTAATCCAAGTAAATGTCACTTAATTTTAATAATGGTAAACGCAGCTAAAATAGAGAAAAATCTCAGTCAATATAATTTTCTTAAAAACAAGGCTAATCTTTCCTATCATTAATAATTTGTACCCATATCACAATTTTTCCTCATTACTTAAGGAAAATATCTGAAACCAATTCATATTATTGATTGACTTTGGAAATGAACACTGTATTTAAACATTTCTGTGTTCGCTTACTTTTCAAATTACAGAACAAATAATATACTATTTCTGTTAAGAAGTTATAAAAGTAAGTATTTTATTTTTTGGCCAGAAACTTCAAAGCCCTTATAGCTCTCTAGATCATTAGGGGTAAGCAAAACGAATCCAATTTTAAATGGCTGGTGTGCTTATTATTTTTTGAAGGCTTGACAAAGAGAGCTTAGGATTTAAATAAATAAAGCAAATGATAAATTATTGGAAATGCATAGGAAACAAAAATTACTATTCATAGAATCAAATATAAGCCTTCCATTAGAAACTAAAAAAAAATCACTGGTTTTATATATGTATATGTAAGTAAAACCCAAAGGAGGACAAACAACAAATAAATAAAAATCAGAAGCACAAAGAAGTAAGCAGGAAACCAACCGCAAATATTTCTCCTACCCAGTTTACCTTAGAGGCTATAGTGTTACCCAGAATCTTAATAAAGCTTGTGATAGATATGTTGCTCCTTGTATATAAATCAATGTCTTTAAGTCCACCAACACTGCTATACATTTTGTGCAAGTAAGAGATTTACCTCAGGCATATGACCAGTAAGTACTTTAGTGCTAGTACTATCTATGCAGAATAGCAAATATAAAGTGAAACAAAGCATTGGAAGCATTTATGAGAAATTTGGCTCCATGTTAAAGCTGACTTCATGCTTAACTATATTAAAAAAGAGTTGCCGAACTGCCAAAATATTATTTACACTATTTCCTGTTTTATCTAACTTTATGAGTAGTGTTAATTAGACAAATCTCTCCAATTTTTGATCAGTTTCTAAAGAATTCTTTACTACCTAAAGTTTTTCAACTTTTTATTTTCTCTATATGTGCATAAAGATAGACACATACAGTAACAGGAAAAATAAAAACTGCATATGACTTAGGACAGACTATCTATAACATGTTTGGGCTTTCTGTTTTGTCATAATTTTTCTCTTTATTTTAAATAACCAGTCATCTAACTTTAGGACAAACATTTGCCATACCAGATTCTTTCTCATACAAAATTCCTCTCTTTTCTTTATAATCTTATTTACCAAAAATACAATTTCATATCATAACTTTCTTCACATCTCTCTCCCCTGCTTAATGGTTCCTTTCTACCTAATTTTAAAAATTTCAAGACCGTAATTTGAATTAATCTGTAGATAACTTGCGAATTAGACAAAATTATTCTTTTTCTCAATAAGGATACATATTTTTGGCATATTTCGTATACAGAATTATATATTAACTACAACTCTTATTCTTAGTAACATTACATGTTGCTGATAGACCAGCAACAAATCCTGGTCTATCAAATATTAGCATTTTATAGATGAGAAATCCTACAATTTTGGAAATGACTCAGACATCCCAGGAGAAACAAAAGTAATTTTAATATTTTTAAATTTCATTTATTCCATTAACATTTTATTCATTTTAGCAGTTTATCTACACTACTTATGAGAACTGAGATATTAGACAAAACTGGTAATCATTCCCTTGTTAATTATTTTATAACCTGTGAATATCAGGTGCCCACCCTAATAAGAACTTTAAATTTAACTACATGGGTGTTTCCACCAATAACTCAGAAGAGTCAACAATTTTCATTAAACCAACAACATTAAGTTAGTTTTACTTATCAAAAAAAAGTTACACAATGATCATTTTGTTTTGGCTGGGTTTATAGTTTTATAATATTCTATGCCAAACTCTGATAATTCAGTATATCTAACAGAGACAAATATGTAGACAAACCCAGACAAAAACATATGCTGACAATTCTGAAGGTATTTCTATTTTTATCTTACCAATAATTTTTTTATTGTACTTTAAGTTCTAAGGTACATGTGCACAATGTGCAGCCTTCTTACATATGTATACACGTGCCATGTTGGTGTGCTGCACCCATTATCTCGTCATTTACTTTAGGTATTTCTCCTAATGCTATCCTCCCCCCACCCCCCCACCCCACGAGAGGCCCCAGTGTGTGATGCTCCCCACCCTGTGTCCAAGTGTTCTCAGTATTCAATTCCCATGAGTGAGAACATGCAGTGTTTGGTTTTCTGTCTTTGCAATAGTTTACTCAGAATGATGGTTTCCAGCTTCACCCATATTTTTAAAGACAGCATGTTTAGTAAAGATTTACTTAAGTCAAGTAAACTTGAAAGTTGCCTAGACTGATTTACTTAATTTATGAGTGCTGTTTTATTTGTGGATCAATTTGGTGGACACAACATATAACATAATAAATGAATATACACATAAACAGATCTAAACATGTATAGATACACCCAAAGATCCAATAGCTTTTACCTCTGAACTCTAGTCATGAGGTAGCAATACAAACTCAACAGTTTGCAAACATGTTCACATGGCTAAACTTACTTGCCCCAATAGGTAATCCAATGAGGCTGTGAACCAAAATTTTGAGTAAAGCTATTTCCATGGCAGATTGATTTTTAAAGGCCAAACCTCCTCAATCTTTAAAGAACGCTGGGGCCAAACACACCACAGAAGAACATCAGGTACTAACCAGGCCCAACCCTGCTTAGAACAGCAGCTTTAAGTATGTATAATTCCAGAATTCTCTGCCTATTTGGTACCGCCTTGATTTTTGGGAGTCTGTCTCAGTGAGAGTGGTTTATGTTTCCACTGTGTGCATACATAAGTGCACACAAGTCCGTACGATGTCCACATGACTGCTGGAAAAGGCAGTAGCTTTGGATGGAGTATAGACATAGAGACTGAAGTTGTTAGACACATATGTATGAGAACCCCCCACCCCCAAGTTTGTAACTAAAACCAGAAGTTGGAAAAGACATGTGTTGTACAGACCAGCAGCCAGAGATCCACATTCCTGTGCTGACATACTGTGTTCCAGGACTCAAAAGAGTCAAAGAATTCTAGATTCAAGCCTACCTTATAAGTTATTTTTAAGGTATGCCTGTCCATTTAAGAAATAAAGTAACTTTGGCTCACTCCTGTAATCCCAGCACTTTGGGAAGCCAAGGTAGGTGGATTACGAGGTCAGGAATTTGAGACCAGCCTGGCCAATGTAGTGAAACCCCCATCTCTACTAAAAATATGAATATTAGCTGGGCATGGTGGCGCGTGCCTGTAGTCCCAGCTACTCAGGAGGCTGAGGTAGAAGAATCGCTTGGACCCGGGAGGCGGAGGTTGCAGTGAGCTGAGATCACACCACTGCACTCCAGCCTGGGCGACAGAGCGAGTTTCCATCTCAAAAAAAAAAAAAAAAAAAAAAAAAAAAAAAGAAAGAAAAATAAAAAAGAAAAAGAAATAAAGTAACTTTTATTTATCAAAGTATTAGCTAGATTTATGATGTGAAAGGTGTAGACAAGGTCTTTGAAGGTCCATCTGTATTTAGCCCAGGCCATATTAGAGGCAGGCCTGTTTAGATTAAGTGGCTAATTGTATCTACCATCATTAAACAAACAAACAAATAAATACCATGAAGATATTCTCTTAATTCTTCAGCCATGTGCAACTGCATTACTTTAATAAATGTGTTATACTATTAACATTAGAAACAGAAAATGGGCTCTTGGAAATAGTTCATTAAAATGTTTCACAATAAAAAACCATAGAAGTATACTGAATAGGTCAGCCTTATATATGGAAATATAGAGGCTTTTTATACATGGAAATACAGAGGCTTTTAAATATCGTGCTAACCAGCTGAATATTTGTAATTATACAAGCCTGACTTCTCTACTTGAAAAAATGAAGTCCCACAAATAGATTTTTACTGTCACAATAATTACCTGAATCATGCAAAGCCTATTCATTGTTGATATACTTGAAATCTAGACGAGCTCTAATCATGCTTGCTCCTCTTCCCAACACTTAGAAAAATAAATACCTGCTTCCACTTCTTTAAATGTCCTTTCTTACTTGAGATAATAAAATATTTTAAGATTATTTCAATATATGACCATATATTTAACATTAGACATTTTAACAAATATTTTTTGCTAATTGTTATATATGAATTTTTATATAGTGATACTGAAGTTCAATGACAGTATTACTTATACCAATGATCTTTTCTAATTTCTCTTATACTTTACTGTATTTACTATTCTATTAATATTTTAATCTCATTTATTAGACCTAAACCAATAACAGCATATTTTAGTAGCTCCATAAACTCCATTGTCAGGTCAAAACATTTCTTAGAAACATAAATTGAGAACACAAAAAATTACATGCTTATTCTATATAGGTATATATATGTATTGCATGTATGCTTTTATAAATGCATATATTATGTGTATATGTATAATTATGTACACATGCAGTTAAGGAGCAATACGTTTTATGCTATAAAGAAATAATTGGGGCCGGGTGCAGTGGCTCATGCCTGTAATTCCAGCACTTTGGAAGGTCGAGGGGGTAGATGACTTGAGATCAGGAGTTCGAGACCAGCCTGCCCAACATGGTGAAATCCCATCTTTACTAAAAAATACAAAAATTAGCCGAGTGTGGTGGTGCACAGCTGTAATCCCAGCTACTAGGGAGGATGAGGCAGGAGAATCGCTTGAACCCAGGAGACGGAGGTTGTAGTGAGTTGAGATAGCACCACTGTACATGTACTCCAGCCTGGGTGACAGAGCAAGACTCCATCTAAATAATAATAATAATAATAATAATAATAATAATAATAATAATTGGAAAGTGAAAACATTCTATATTAGTGGAACTGGTAAAATAAAGTGCATTCTAAATATTTATAGTAGATATTTATTTAACATAAATGAAACTATCTGTCAGCAAAAACAAATTCAGATTCAGTGCCTCACTTAAAAATCACTGGCTAATAGATAAATTGACTAAACTATTCTCTGAGCACTGAAGAACTGGAATTAATCTACTATTTCAACCATTCACCGTTCCATAAAGATGATTATAAATCCAATATTTAGAATGTCACTTTTTGAGAGATGTGCTTGAATATTCATTCATGGAATCTAGACAGTATATGTTAAAGTTAGTCAATCAGTCACATGAAAAAGAAGGAAACAAATGAGAAAGTAAGATTTCCTTTTTCACATAGGAGACACAATTTGAGTAGTCTTTAGTATGAGATCAGTATTTAGTATAAGATTAGTATTATATTAATCTTTAGTATAAGTTTTTTTAAAAGTCCTCAATGATATGTGATCAATGATATGATGTATTTTATGTAATTAATTCTCATTTTCAACTAGTTTTGGTTGTTATGTGTAAGTAATAAAAGTTAAATAAATGCAGTGAAGTTTTATGGTAAAAATATAAATAACATTTTTTCACTTTTTCATAAATGAACTGAAATAAAATGCTGTGTTCTACTCTTGAGTAAAAATAGAAAGCTATTTATCTTTGCTATTATTCTCAAAACAAAATCTGACTCCTGTTTAGATAACTTATTGATTCTATCAGGATTTCATCCTTTTTTTTTGGCTAAAAGATTACTCCCAAATCTCAAGAATGTAATAGCCTCCCTACACTTATGTGAGTTTATTATACTTACATAATATGAAATGGTTTCCCCTTGCTTTTAATGATTTTTCATATAGATTATAATTATGAATGTTTATTGATGTTTATATTTTATTTTCTACAATACTTTATCTTTTAAATTAATTATATATACCACGTAAAGTTTATCTGAAAGAAATTGGTTTATTTTAATGTTGTCTGAAAAAAAATTGTTCTTTTCAATAGCTCTTAAATCAGTAATTTATATTACTTCCAGCACATTTCATCCTAACACCACCTGGGAAGTAAAATTTTCTGGAGGGTTGGCTTTCATTTCATTCTAAATGTCTGATTGATGAAATTAAGCATGTAAACATTTAAAAAGCTGAATTAAGGGTTCGTGAAAAAAATAATTATTCTTTTACTGTGTCCCTTTAGATTTGTTGCAAGATGAAGCATAAAGTCTAAAATAAACATTTATAACTGCTGAATTTTTGGCTTAAAATACAACCACATTGCAAGAATGATATATAGACATCTAAACTTAGAATTGGAAGAAACCTAAAAAGTTCATCTAGTTATGCAAATCAAAGTATTATATTTTACTTCCCAAAAAACTGACATTTATAATGGCTAAGTTTCCTGCCCAAGTTGACGCAGATAGATAATGACAATTTTACCAAGTGTTTTTTGATTGTAAGCCAACATAATTTCTCATAAAATATATCCATTAAACTTTATACAGATAACAGTTTTTTTTTACCACAGGCCAAATATGTTGATTTGCATGACAAAGACTATTTGAAAAATTGTGATGAATTCTTGGTTTTAGAATTCTTTGTTTGAAATAGAGAAAACAAATAAGATAAAGCATTCTATGTTTCAAAAGTATGTGAGTTAATGTTACAAATAAAAACAGATGCATTTCTTTGAAATATGGAATAACAAGTGATTAGACAACTTTGTGCTCAATAAGAATAAGATCAGTTTCAGATTCATTTTTCTATCTGTGAAATTTAAGACAATGATAGCACAATGTAAAGATCAATAGGGGTAGAATTTTATTAAATGGAAAACACTGTGAAACACTGGAGTGAAAATCTCTGCTTAGATAATTGGGCAACAGTTATATTAAAAGAGTGGCAATGTTTTAATATTGAGAGCTTTTCCAATGAAGTAGAAGAAAAAAACGACAGTAGAAGATTGGATTAATTTCAATTGTTCCTGAATGGTGAAGCATGCTCTAAGATATATAAACGAATGTATTCTGTTGATAATGAAAAAACAAATCTCTTTAGGAATTGCAAAGATCAAAGCCACTCAGAAAGATTTGAGAGATGTTAAAATAAAGCAATGATGTAGTCTAGTTTTCAAAAATTGAAGGTAAATTACAAATTAAAGGTCAAAGTCTTTGGTAGAATTTTTCTTTAAAAAATTAGTGATATCAGTGTTAAAAGTGCAAATATCCTTTTATAATAAATATCTGAATTAATTTTCTCAACTTTCATTTTACTTCCTCTTGTATATGGGAAAATATATAGCTAAAATGACATTTCTCTTATTCCTTTGAGCTACAATCATTGATGTCAATTAAATTCTAACAATTCAGTGCACTCGTGAATTTGAGAGATAAAAGGAGGTAGGTGCCTGGTAGTATAACCTGCAGCATGGTTACAAAAATGTGACTATAAATATATTCCTAAATTTACCTGTGGCTATGTTACAATGTAATTAGGTCTTCAGCAAAATGAATTAACCCTACCTTTGGAGAAATATCATCAATAATCCTTGAGATAATTCTAATCTCTATAGCTACAATATGCTGCTATGGTACAGCAAATTGGGTAGTAGGTTTTTGTTTTGTTTCTGTTTTTGTTTTTGCATTAGTCTATTTCATGGAGAAACCAGTGAATAGATATTCTGCGATTGTAGTTATTCCCCTATATCTTCAATCCACAGTCAGAATAGTCATAAGTTTTTAACTGGCAGAATCTATATTGGCCCCTTGCAACATCAGCTCATTGACATGGGAACATACACTTTCACAGTAGGAAAGACCTCATAGGGTCTTAATGAAAAAGCAAACATGAAAAAATATCCAGGTACAAAGTTGGTTTTCATTATATATGCTGCATAAAAAAATGATCACCAAGAATTAGTGACTTAAAACAATAGTTTTATTAGATCTCATAGTTTTATGAGTCAAGAATCAAGACTAAGCTTTGCAGGTTGATTCCTCTCCTTAATGTAGCATTGACTGTGGCTTATCAAGGTATTCATCAGATTGCTTGCCAAAGTTAGAGGGTCTCAGATGTCTTTACTCATATACCTATGTGAGCATGGATGACTATTAAGTCTAGGCTCCTCTGGGCCTCTCTTCCACTTCCTGTAGTCCCAGAACCCCTCCACATGTCTCTACAAAAAGGTATTTGCATTTCTTACAGGAGGATTCAGGTTTCCTGGAGAACACATTGGCACCTACTCGTCCTTTAATAGAATATGCTCAGAACTGGCATTGTGTTACTTCAACCATATTGCACAAGTCAAAGCATCTACATGTCATACATCTATGAGACAAGTGTCAAAAACTGAGCCACTTTTAATCTGTTACATCCATCCAATCTAAGATGATCTCAGTAATCAATGATCAAATCGGTTCTTTCACTTCCCAGGTTATAAAAGAGATGGCAATATCCAGAAAAGGGGTATCTGTAAAAAGCGTATCTTTTTATTGATGGCAAAAAAAGGTTGTTTGCTGCCTCCTTGCTTGGGGGTATTGATAAATTAACAGAGCATGAAGAAAACTTCCTGTAAAGTTTTCTTTAATTATTTTTTTCAGGAGAGGCTCACAAAAACATAAATATTTCTATTAAAGCACAACAGAACTTAGCCGTTTTATGACTGATGGTCATTTCTCTTCAGGAGTTATGTGTGTGTATGAAGAATGAGACTGGTGTGGGGACAATGTTTGGAGAAACCTAAGGGAGAAGACTGTTGCAATACAATTTCTAGGTGAGGCCTGAAGAAAGAGAGTAGCAATGAGCACAGTCTGGTCCCTATTAAGTGTGGAGGATCAAAGGATAATTTTTGTTGTTGTTGTTTTTGTTTTTTGTTTGTTTGTTTGTTTCTGTAGCAATTGGCTGAAATTGAATGTTAAATGTTTAGTTTTGCTTGTTCATAGACTGTTTCCTGTCCTCCTTGGTACAGTAAGTTAATTCCATGAGGGATGAAATGTGATTTTTAAAATCTGGCTTCAATTTGCAACCCTTAACTTAGTGTGTATTTTTCCTTGAGATATTTAATTAATATGCTTTAATTAATATATATATATTTGTGTGTGTGTTTGTGTGTATATATTCTTAGATTAAATTAATATAGTACTGTAGAGATATGTGAAAGAGGGTAGCAATGGTCACACACATACGTGTGTGTTTGTGTATACATTCTTAGATTAAATTAATATAGTACTGTAGAGATTGTACATTCATATCTCTCTCAATTAACTTATATCATGATTTTTATATGTAACTAATTACTGTTATTTTATTTTAAAGACAGCTTATTCAAGCACACTGATGAAATATCTCAAGGAAAAATACGCACTAAGTTAAGGGTTGCAAACTGAAGCCAGATTTTTAAAATCACATTTCATCCCTCATGGAATTAATTTACTGTACCAAGGAAGACAGGAAACAATGTATGAACACGCAATGTTAAACATTTAACATTCAACTTCACGTGTGTGTGTGTGTGCGTGCGTGTGCACCCATTGCTACCCTCTTTCTTTATTTGCCACATAGAAATTCTATTCCAGTAGTCTTTTCCCTAAGGTTTCTTCAGACATTGTCCCACACCAGACTCATTCCTTATACACACACATAACTCTTGAATTTAATATGTATATAATTTATATGTATATGGATGGAATTTATTTTTTACGGCAATTTTACATCCACACAAATATGAGTAGAAAGGTAGAGAGATGTCTCATGTACTCCCTGACCCACATATGCACAGCTTCCTCCACTATCCAATTCCTGCACAAAAGTGATACATTTATTACAATCAATGAACCTATATTGCCACATCATTCTCACCAAAAGTCTGTAGTTTACATTGAGGTTTACTGTTGGTGTTGTACATTCAATGGGTTGGGACATATGTATAATGACGTGTATCTACCATTATATATTATGCAGATTATTTTCACTGCCTAAAATTTATCTGTGTTCCACCTGTTTATACCTTCTTCCCTCTCTCCCCTCTAACTCCTGGCAATAATTGAGCCTTTACTGTCTCCACAATTTTGCCTTTTCTAAAATATCTTATGATTGAACTAACATAGTTGTAGCCTTTGCAGATAGACTTTTGAAATTAAGCAGTATGCATTTAGGGATCCCCCATGTATTTTCATGCCTAAATAGCTAACTTCCTTTTAATGTTTGCTATAGTTTGCATGTCTCCCCTTCAAAATTTACGTGTTGTTAATGTGATAATATTAAGATGTGGGTTTTAAGAGGTGATTAAACTCTGAGGACTCCTTCCTTATTGGTGGGATTAGGTCTTTATAAAAGAAGCTTCACTCAGGATATGGCTGGCTTGTCAGCTTTTTCCTTTGATCTTTTGTTATGTGAAGACACATCATTCAACCTCTCTTCTTCCTTCTGCCATGTGAATATTCAGCAAGAAGGCAGTCACCAGATACCAAATGCTGGCACTTTGATCTTGGACTTACAGCCTTTAGAACTGTGAGAAATAAATTTCTGTTCTTTATAAATTACCCAGTTTGTGGTATTGTATTAGAGTAGCAAAGATAGTCTAAGGCAATGCTGAATAAAATTCCACTGTCTATACATATCACAGTTTATTTATCCTTTTACCTACTGCAGGACATCTGGTTGCTTCCAAGTTTTGGCAATTATGAATCAATCTTCTGTAAACAATTATGTGTAGGTTTTTGAATAGACATAAATTTCAACTCATTTGGGTAAATAAATACCAAAGAAACTAGTTGCTAGATTATATGTTTAATTTGTAAGAACCATCTCCCAAGCTGTCTTCCAAAGTGGCCGTATTACTTTGCATTCCCACCAGCAGTGAATGAGAGTTCCTGATGCTCCATTTCCTTCTCAGTGTTTGGTGTTGTCATTGTGGTGGATTTTGGCCTCTCTAATAGGTGTGTAGTGATATCCCATTGTTGCTATAGTTTGTAATTCTCTAACAACACATTACGTTGAGCATTTTACCATTTGCTTACTGGCCATATTTATATCTTACTTAGTAAGGTATTTTTGCCCATTTTTCAGTCAGTGTTACTTTGTTATTGTTAAATTTTAAGTGGCTTTTAAAAATATTTTGGATGGGCCAGGCACGGATGGCTCATGCCTATAATCCCAGCCCTTTGGGAGGCCAAGGCAGGTGGATCACCTGAGGTCAGGGGTTCGAGACCATCCTGGCCAACATGGTGAAACTCCGTCTCTACTAAAAATACAAAAAAATTAGCTAGGCATGGTGGCAGGCACCTGTAATCTTAGCTACTCGGGAAGCTGAGGCAGGAGAATCACTTGAACCCGGGCGGCGGAGGTTGCAGTGAGCCGAGATTGTGCCTTGCACTCTAGCCTGGACAGCAAGAGTGAAACTGTGTCTCAAAAAAAAAAAAAAAAAAAAAAAACAGTCCAGGAGCAGTGGCTCATGCCAGTAATCCCAGCACTTTGGGAGGCCGAGGCAGGCAGAACCCTAGGTCAGGAGTTCAAGACCAGCCTGGCCAACACAGTGAAACCCCATCTCTACTAAAAATACAAAAATTAGCTGGGCACGGTGGTGCACAGCCTGTAGTCCCAGCTACTCGGGAAGCTAAGGCAGGAGAATTGCTTGAACCTGGGAGACGGAGGTTGTGGTGAGCCAAGATTGCTCCACTGCACTCCAGCCTGAGCAACAGAGCGAGACTCCACCTCAAAAAAAAAAAAAAAAAAAAAAGGAACTACATTTTCTCCATTGTTACTGATTGACTTAGCTCCTTTGTGAAAAATCAGTTGACTATGTTTATGTGAGACTGTATTTTGAATATTCACGAAATAATTGCTGGGATTTTGTTTGGAATTGCTTTGAAGGTATAAATCCAGTTTGGAAGAGATGATATCTTGGCAATATTGAGTTTTTCTATCAATGAACATGGAATATATATTAATTTATTTAGTCCTTCTTGGATGTCTTTTATCAGAGCTTTATAGTTTTCCTCATATAGAATTTGTACATATTTTGTTAGACCTATACTTACATATTTTATTTTTGGGAGTGCTTCTTTAAATAGTACCATGTTTTAAATTTCACATTCCACTTATTTATTTCTGGTGTAAAGAAATGCATTGGCTTTTTAATATTAACCCTGCATCCTACAACTTTCCTGTAATCCCTTACTAGTTCTAGGAAGTTTTGGATCAATCACTTTGCAGTTTCTAAATAGATGATCATCTTTTCCAGAAAAAAATATGTTCTTCCTTTCCAATCAGTATACCTTTTATTTCCTTTTATTGAATTATTACATTAGCTAGGACTATTACTACATTGTTAAAAAGGAGTGGGGAGGGGACATCCTTGCCTTGTTTTTTAGTGGAAAACTTCTAGTTTCTTACCAGTAAGTATGATGTCAGTTTGTGTGTGTGTGGTTTTTGTTTGTCTGTTTCGTTATCAAGTTGAAAAAAGTCTTCCTGTATATATAGTTTACCGAGAAGTTGTAGCTTTTTGTTTTTGTTTTCTTTTTTGTCATAAATAGATGTTGGATTTTGTCAAGTGCTTTTTGTCTCTAGAAGTTCAATGCACTATCCATTGAGCCACACAGCCAGAAATCAAGTGCTTTTCCTGCATCTATTGATAGGATCATGTGATTTCTGTTCTTTAATTTGTTGATGTGATGGATTACACAAATTGATTTTTAAATGTTGAACCAACCTTACATACCTGGTATAAATGCCACTTGGTTGGAGTCTATAATCCTTTTTATATATTGCTGAATTTGATTTGCTAACATTTTGTTGAGAACTTTTGTGTCCATGTTCATGAGAGATATTGGTATGTAGTTTTCATTTCTTTTAATGTTTTTGTCTATTTTTGGCATTTTGTAATACTGACTGCAGAGGATGCACTAACAAGTATTCTCTCTGCTTCTGTATTCTGAAAGAGATTTTAGATAAGAGCATAATTTCTTCCTTAAATTTTTGGTAGAATTTATAATAGAATACATCTGGTTCTGGTGTTTCTGTCTTGCAAAGTCATTAATTACTTATTCAGTTATTTTAATAGCAACAAGCCTATTCAAATTGCCTGTTTCATTTTGTGTGAGCCTTGGTAGATTATGTCTATCATGAAATTGTTCCATTTTATCCATGATACCAAATTTATGGGCACAGAGTTGTTCATATACTTGATGTATAGTGATATCCCATTCCTCACTTTTGATTTTTAGTAATTTGTATATTTTTCCTTTATTTCATAGTCTGTTTAGAGGCTTATTGATTTTATATTTTTTTTTCTCTAAGAACCATATTTGGTCTTCATCGTATTTCTATATTTATTCCCTGTTTTGAGTTTTAATGATTTCTACTTTGAAATTAATTTGTTCTTATTCTTATATTTTTAATGTGAAAGATTATTCATTTCATATTTTTCTTCTCTTCTAATATAGACATTCATGCTATCCATTTTCCTCTAAGCGCTGCTTTTTCTACATACCATAGCTTTTGATAGGTTGCATTCACATTTTTATTTTGTTTAAATGTTCTTTTAATTTCTTTTGAGATTTCTTTTTTGATTCATGTGTTATTCAGATGTGTATTTTTCAGCTTTCATTCTGTTGCTGATTAATATCAGTTTGATATCATTGTGGTCTGAGGAAAACATTGCATAATTTCTACTTTTAAAAAACAGTGAATTGATAAGGTGAATTTATGGCCCAGAATGTGTGGTTCGTCTTACTGAACGTTCCATGTGAGTTTTGAGAACGTGTAGTCTGCCATTTTTGAATGAAGTAGTTGATAGATGTTACTTATGTTCAGTTAATTGATGGTGTTGTTGAATTCAGCTATATTCTTACAATTTTTTTGGCTTCTGGATCTATTCGTTTCTTACAGAGGGGTATTAAAGTCTCAAATCATCTTAATAGATTTATCAATTTCTCCCTGCATTTCTATTAGTTTTTGCCTCATATATTTTGACATTCTGTTGTTAAGCATATACACATTAAAGATTGTTATGTCTTCTTGGAGAATTGACCATTTTATCTTTATGTAATTCTCCAATTTAATCTCTGATAATTTTATTACTCTGACGTCTGCTCTGTATGAAATTAATATAGTTATTCTACCTTTATTTTGATTAGAGTTAGTGTGGTAAATCTTTCTAATGTATTTAGTTTGAATCTACATGGATTTTCATATTTAAAGTGTGTGTGTGTGTGTGTGTGTGTGTGTGTGTGCAAACAACATATGTAAATCTCTCTGTTTACATTGCCTTCCTGTTCTTGGATGCTGTCAACTTTGTCCATTAGAGTTCTTACTGTATTAATCATAGTTATTTTAAATTCATGTCTCATAATTCTGTCACCCCCACCACATCTATGTCTGCTTCTGATACTCATTATGTCTCTTCAAACTGTTTTTTACATTTAGTATTTCTCATAAGTTTTTATTGATAGCTGGACATAGAGTATTGGATAAAAAGAACTGTGATAAATTAGGTATTTAGTATTGTAATGTGGAAAAGTGTGGTGGTTGAGGAATTCTGTAGATCTCTAACTAGGTCTCAGTCTTTTAGTGAGCCTGTGTCTCTGGACTGTGAACTTCACAGGTTCTCATTCCTCTTCCACACACACACACACACACACACACACACACATCTTTTAGGTGGGACAGGAAGCCTACTTAGGCTTGAGAGTGCTGGAGTTGGATGCTGTATTAGTCCATTTTCTTACTGCAGATAAAGACATACCCAAGACTTCGCAATTTACAAAAGAAAGAGTTTTAATGGACTTACAGTTCCACATAGCTGGGGAGGCCTCATAATCATGGCAGAAGGAAAGGAGGAACAAGTCATGTTTGACATGGATGGTGGAAGGCAAAGAGAGAGCTTGTGCAGGGAAACTCCCCTTTTTAAAACCATCAGATCCAGTGAGACTTACTCACTATCAAAAGAACGGCAAGGGAAAGACCTGACGCCATGATTCAATTACCTCCCACCAGGTCCTTCCCACAACAGGTGGGAATTCAAGATGAGATTTGGAGGGGAACACAGACAAACTATAGCAGGCATTTTCCATCTCTCACGTGATAGGCTAGAGTAGACTGGAATTAGTTATTTCCTATCTCCCAGGTAGGCTAGGCTCTGAAAATTAAAAAATAGCCCATAGCTTAAACCTGGGTAAAACAGTTTCTCTTGAGAGCAGGTCTTGTTTAGGAGAACAGAAAGTTCTGGTGTTATTTCAGAATGGCTACTCCCCTCTCTCCTGACTAAAAGCAGGAGAGGATTTTTTTCTCCAGTGCTCACTGTGGGAGTCTGGTTGAGCACCTGGAAATAAAAGTCAGAAAAGTGTGGGTATCTCCTTAGTCTGGGTCCCTCTGCAGATTTTAACTAAAACTTGCCACACTGAGGCCTAGTAATCTGTAGATTACAGTTTAGATTTTTCTACCCCCACACTGGTTCCTGCAGAAGTTTCTTATAGGTTTTGGCTCCAGTAAGTTGTGATATTCTGAATCTGCCTGTCTGTATTTCCAGTTTTGAGGGCTGAAGTTTGTCCTATGACCTCTCTTCTCTGACAGATCTAAGAAGAATTATTGATTTCTCAGTTTGTTCAGTCTTTACTAGTTGTTAGGATGGATTAATGACTTCCAGGCTTCTCACATGCCAGACCAGAAGCTGGAAGTCCAAGGCTTATATTTTAAATCATGCAAATTATGCTGGCAAATTATGTCTGCCTCCCCATATTCTAATCCAATATTAACAATTTAGCAGTTATCTTCCTGACAGATTGATTGATCATCTAATTAACTACAAGTAAATGTTTAATTTTGTATTTCTTTTTGATTAGATCAATGATCTCGAAAACTTTTTTATCCATACACTCCTATTAGTAAATTAAAAATTGGAACATTAACTTCCACTATCTCCATACTTACTTATGATGTTGAAAAACTGTAGGTATAATACCAAACCCATATAGACTTTTTATATTTTAATGTACAGATAAGATAGACATTAAAGAATATGATTCTATATGTGTTTCTGTACATACTCACCACACGGACACACATATGTAAATTTATAATGTACAATTCCTGTACCACAATCACAATGAATTATCCTATAAATCCCATGGGTTGCATGCCTTCAATTTTGTGATGATGGCCTAGATAACTATTTTAAGAGATTCAAGCTAATTCCTAATATTCCCCTTGCACATAGCTTCTCTGACGCTAAAGAAAAGGGAATATCATGGTATATAAATGTTACAGTAAACTGTAATCTTCAAGAAATACATTCTATTTGCTATGAATGTCATATAAATTATTAGAATTCAAAAGACACAAGTATTAAAAATTTTCTAATGGGGTACCTTGGAAATACGTGTTTTATGTGATTTGTACTCATATGGGAAATGTTTAAGAGCTCAAATTTCTGTCTCCAGAGAATTTTCTCTTTTTATCAAGATAACTTATTCCCCCAAGATCCACAAAATTTCTTTGTTATTACTCTCTTCTAGATTATTTTGGAACCCCAGGAGGCTGTGATTGCTACAGGAAAGATTTCATGAACTGAAACACACTTTACAACACAATACAAAAATTATCTTAAGTAATCATATTATGTTTTTACTGTGATTATATAAAAGTGTACATCATGCACACTTTTATATAATCATATATACTTTTATACAATCACAGTAAAAACAATATTTATCCTACATGTCAATATTACACATTTTAAAGAAATAGTGGTGCTTTTATTTTTCAATTTATGTAGATATCAAGCTATATAATAAACAACCCAATGGAATCAGCACAGGGTTTTCCTTATAAGAAAGTATCTATTTCTTGATATTTTAACAATATCTCAATTAAGATGTATATATTTTAAGTGTATCATTATTTGTATATGAAAATGTAGAATTTTCTTTACAAAATGACATTTGACGGCAGAAATTATTTTTCAGATTACACGTACTTATTATAAATATGTGTGTCATTTTTAAAAATATTACTAGTATGACTCTTTGACAAATTGCCAGCTGAAAACTGCCATTCAACTGAAAAGAATCTACCTTTGAAGACATAGAATAAGTATATTTAGAGGATGTGAAGAAATAGGGACACTTTTACACTGTTGGTGGGACTGTAAACTAGTTCAACCATTGTGGAAGTCAGTGTGGCGATTCCTCAGGGATCTAGAACTAGAAATACCATTTGACCCAGCCGTCCCATTACTGGGTATATACCCAAAGGACTATAAATCATGCTGCTATAAAGACACATGCACACATATGTTTATTGTGGCACTACTCACAATAGCAAAGACTTGGAACCAACCCAAATGTCCAACGATAGACTGGATTAAGAAAATGTGGCACATATACACCATGGAATACTATGCAGCCATAAAAAATGATGAGTTCATGTCCTTTGTAGGGACATGGATGAAATTGGAAATCATCATTCTCAGTAAACTATCGCAAGAACAAAAAACCAAACACCACATATTCTCACTCATAGGTGGGAATTGAACAATGAGAACACATGGACACAGGAAGGGGAACATCACACTCTGGGGACTGTTGTGGGGTGGGGGGAGGGGGGAGGGATAGCATTGGGAGATATACCTAACGCTGGATGACGAGTTAGTGGGTGCCGCGCACCAGCATGGCACATGTATACATATGTACCTAACCTGCACAATGTGCACATGTACCCTAAAACTTAAAGTATAATAATAATAATAATAATAAATAAATAAAATAAAATAAAATAAAATAAAAAATAAAAAATAAAAAATTTCCAAATTAAAAAAAAAAGAATAAGTAAATTTGAACAGGGAAAGAAACATAATAATAATTGATTCATAATGTGAGAAAACACTAAGCAAAGCTACTCCTGTCATTAATGAAACTTAGGCAGCCAGGGTTGCAGATGTTGGGTTAGAAATAAGTCAAAACTAAGTATTTTTGTGGGTAAAAAAACCTTTGAATAACATTTAATATATGTCAGCAAATACAAATGATCTACCTCTGGGAGTCAAGTATATCAGCTAGACACAAAAATTTTCAGAAAATCAGGAAATTCTTTATGAAAAGAATACACATACATGCTGTTTAAAAACACAAAAATAAAATGACTGATCAGAGTTTGTTTTTATTCAGACATTAGCTGAATTAACAACTCTGGGCAAAGATACTTCTTATTTTAGATAAATGTTTCCAGAATGATTTTGATATTTTAACTACCCTTTCCCTCTTGGTCTCATAGCAGCTTATATTTGAATTTACCATAACTTTCACGATGCTATATAGTAGTCTCATTAACATGATTTTCCTTGAACAAACTGTCTCCTAGGACCAGAATCATGTTTGCAAGATGATTGCAGTGTTTTTGGTGCTGGCGCACGGTCTGTAATAAATTGCCTCGTACACATGAATAAATGGAGAATTGAATGAATGACTGATAGAATAAACATTTTAGACTAGTCTAAAATTTGCTTTTTTTAATTTAACACATTATTTAAAAATACAGATCTCTAAAATAACAGACAAGTGATCAAGACATTACTAACAAACTTGCAAGAAACATAGTAAAAACACACAAAGTTGTATCTGATGGCCAAAATCAAATAAACGCAAAGAATGATAAATATATGCCACCCAACTGCACATTAGTATGAAGCAGAAATATTTTTTTAAATGCCAAGTGAAATTGGCTGAACTTTTGCCATGCTTAGGGCGAAGGAGTGATCAATTTGGTAAAAAATAGGGCACTTCTGGAGTCACTAAAACAGAAATGTCATACTGCTTATCACAAATGTAGAATGGCTTCGTTTTCTCTGTTTGAAAAAACAATTGTCTTTTTATAAGTAGTCTGTATGAGATAGATATGAAAGTTTCTAAGAATAGTTTCATGTAATTTTTATTTTAAATTTTTTAAAAAAGTATCACCTAGATAGTCAGGCTAGTGAAGTTTTCAACACTAGTAAGACATTTCCAGAGGCACAGCCGGGAGCACTATTTCCTGACAGGTTCTTTCTGGTATGGACTATCTTCAGGAATTTGATTTCTCAGCTCTCTGATTGCCACATGAATTAGAAAAAGAAGAGAGGTGCTAATCACAAGATGCAAGCTATACCATTGCCTGTAATTGTGAGGCATCATTACATGTGGTTGGAGGTTAAGGTTGCTTGTGTGCTTTTGTGTGTGTCATACTCAGAATTTCCTATATACAATTATTATTTTAAAATTTTCAAACAAAAATATGAAAGGCACTGGTTTCATTGAAATCATTAACAGAAAGATGATCTTTCTTTCTGTTTGTCTTTCCTTTTTGTTTTTGGAGTTTTTTTGCCTAAATATATAGGCTTCAAATGTTTACTAATTCTATGAGAAGTTTTTAGGCTACCTAAGAAGAGTTACAAAAAATTTAACTACAACCTAAAAGTTTTGTGGAAGCTAAAGCCTATTCTCCCAATAATAATATAGAAAACAAAAAATCTGTTTCATTCATGTGAATATTTAAGCTGGTGCTTAGAACATAGTGTATGAATTATTATTAGTATAACTCTAAGTAGTTACTAGAAGTAGTAGTAATAGTAATAATATTAAAAGAGTTGTCTTGATGTCAGGTACAGAAAATGTTAGAAACAGCTCAAAAGCACTTATAATTTATGCATAAATGTATAGTATAAATTTATGCAATAATACATATGTATTGGATGATTTTGATTGAATATTAATGCCACCATAATCGTTAGAGAAAATGTATTAAAGTTTTTGAGAGGGTCAGAACAAAATAGAAATATGAAAACACATTTTAATATTTCTCTGAATTTTCATCATGCTAAAAATAGCTAGAAATTGTCAGAACACTATTGAGATTAAAAAGTAATGAGAATTAACTAATTGAAATAATGCAGCTATTCTTAAAATGTTAAATACCATTAACATATTTTAATTGAAAAGCAATTCTGCTTGAACATTTTAAAATTTTACATAATCAACTTGAAATGATAGGTAGTTCATTATTGTAAATAAAGTTTAATCTATTTTATACAAATCAAAATGTTAGATAAATATTAAACATGAAATGGGCAAAAGAGGGTAAAAATACAGTAATAATTATCAAATCAAATAATGAACCATATTAGCATTCAAAAATTTAAAAAATTATAAAATATAACTTTTTTATTATTGTTATACTTTAAGTTCTGTGACACATGTGCAGAATGTGCAGATCTGTTACATAGGTATACACGTGCCATGGTGGTTTGCTGCACCCATCAACCCATCATCTTCATTAGGTATTTCTCCCAGTGCTATCCCTCCCATAGCCCCCCACCTCCTGACAGGCCCCACTGTGTGATGTTCCCCTCCCTGTGTCCATGTGTTCTCATTGTTCAATTCCCACTTCCCACTGAGTGAGAACATGCGGTGATTGGTTTTCTGTTTGTGTGTTAGTTTGCTGAAAATGATGGCTTCTAGCTTCATCCATGTCCCTGTAAGGGACATAAGCTCATCCTTTTTTATGGCTGCATAGTATTCCATGGTGTATGTGTGCCACATTTTCTTTATCCAGTCTATCATTGATGGGCATTTGGATTGGTTCCAAGTCTTCGCTATTGTGAATAGTGCTCATGTGTCTTTATAGTAAAATGATTTATAAACAAACGTGTTCATGTGTCTTTATAGTAGAACGATTTATAACCTTTGGGGTATATATATACCCAGTAATGGGATCACTGGGTCAAATGGTATTTCTGGTTTTACATCCTTGAGGAATCACCACATTGTCTTCCACAATGGTTGAACTAATTTACACTCCCACCAACAGTGTAAAAGTGTTCCTGTTTATCCACATCCTCTCCAGCATCAGTTGTTTCCTGACTTTTTAGTGATCACCATTCTAACTGGTGTGAGATGTTATCTCATTGTGGTTTTGATTTGCATTTCTCTAATGACCAGTGATGATGAGCTTTTTTACATGTTCATTGGCTGCATAAATGTCTTTTTTTGAGAAGTGCCTGTTGATATCCTTTGCCCACTTTTTGATGCAGTTGTTTTTTTTTTCCTTGTAAATTTATTTAAGTTCCTTATAGATTCTAGATATTAGCCCTTTGTCCGATGGATAGATTGCAAAAATTTTCTCCCATTCTGTAGGTTGCCTGTTTACTCTGATGATAGTTTATTTTGCTGTGCAGAAGCTCTTTAGTTTAATTAGACCCCATATTTCAAGTTTCGCTTTTGTTGCTGTTCCTTTTGGTGTTTTAGTCATGAAGTCTTTGCCCACAACTATGTCCTGAATGGTATTGCCTAGGTTTTCTTCTAGGTTTTAGGTCTTACATTTAAGTCTTTAATCCATCTTGAGTTAATTTTTGTATAAAGTGTAAGGGAGGGGTCCTGCTTCAGTTTTCTGCATATGGCTAGCCAGTTTTCTCAACACCGTTTATTAAATAAGGAATCCTTTCCCCATTGCTTGTTTTTATCAGGTTTATCAAAAATCAGATGGTTGTAGATGTGTGGTATTATTTCTGAGGCCTCTGTTCTATTCTATTGGTATGTATATCCGTTTTGGTACCAGTAACATTCTGTTTTGGTTACTGTAGCCTTGTAGTACAGTTTGAAGTTAGGTAGCGTGATGCCTCCAGCTTTGTTCTTTTTGCTTAGGGTTGCCTTGGCTATACAGACTCTTTTTTTGGTTCCACGTGAAATTTAACATAGTGTTTTCTAATTCTGTGAAGAAAGTCAATGGTAGTTTGATGGGGATAGCGTTGAATCTATAAATTACTTTGGACAGTATGGCCATTTTCACGATACTGATTCTTCCTATCCATGAGCATGGAATGCTTTTCCATTTGTTTGTGTCCTCTTTTATTTCCTTGAGCAGTGGTTTGCTGTTCTCCTTGAAGAGGTCCTCCACATCCCTTGTAAGTTGCATTCCTAGGTATTTTATTCTCTTTGTAGAAATTGTGAATGGGAGTTCACTCATGATTTGGTTGTTTGTCTATTATTGGTGTATAGGAATGCTTGTGATTTTTGCACATTGATTTTCTATCCTGAGACTTTGCCAAAGTTGCTTATCAGCTTAAGGAGGTTTTGGGCTGAGACAATGGGGTTTCCTAAATACACAATCATGTCATCTGTAAACAGAGACTATTTGACTTCCTCTCTTCCTATTTGAATACCCTTTATTTCTTTCTCTTGTCTGATTGCTCTGGCCAGAACTTTCAATACTCTGTTGAGCAGGAGTGGTGAGAGAGGGCATCATTGTCTTGTGCTGGTTTTCAAAGGGAATGTTTCCACTTTTTCCCATTTAGTATAATATTGGCTGTGGGTTTGTCATAAATAGCTCTTACTATTTTGTGATATGTTCCAGCAATACCTAGCTTATTGTGAGTTTTTAGCATGAAGGGCTGTTGAATTTTATTGAAGGCCTTTTCTGCATCTATTGAGATAATCATGTGGTTTTTGTCATTGGTTCTGTTTATGTGATGGATTACATTTATTGATTTGCATATGTTGAACCAGCCTTGCATCCCAAGGATAAAGCCAACTTGATCGTGGTGGATAAGCTTTTTGATGTGCTGCTGGATCCCGTGTGTAAATCCTCAAAATAGAACTTGTTTTAAATATCTAGCTTATATGTAGCAGTTTGTCACATTCAAAGCCCTAGCGATTAACAGCACAATATCACACACAAAAGGCAGATATATATCAAAGGCATATATTGCTGTATAATTTACTGTAATTCAAAATGTTTAACCAATTTCCTGAAAAGAGAAATGGCTAGGTATATGGTCTGATATATGTAAATACACAGAAATATATATTAAAAATTTTAGAGTTATAGCAATATGAAAATACATCAAATAAAACAAGATAGAAAATTCATCAGAAATATCTCATACTTAAAAAAAAATAGCCTATTGTATTGAAATAAATAAGTTCCCCACCATGTATCCTGGTAAACTATCATGATTATTTGGGGTGGTAGTTTCACAAATATTTTGTTTCTTTATAATTTTCTAACATTAGCCATACTTTAATAATAACCATGAATTGTTTATAAAATAAAAATTAAATATTAATAATTAATCAAATTCCAACATTAAAATCAGTTAGCAGCTGGGGTGGTGGCTCACACCTATATCCCAGCACCTTGGAAGGCTGAGGCAGGTGGATCACTTGAGGCCAGGAGTTCAAGAGCAGCCTGGCCAACATGGGAAACCCCATGTCTATTAAAAATACAAAAACATTTGGCCAGGTGTGGTGGTGCATGCCTGTAGTCTCAGCTACTCGGGAGGCTGAGGCAGGAGAATCTCTTGAACCCAGGAGGTGGAGGTTACAGTGAGCCGAGATGGTGCCATTGCACTCCAGCCTGGGTGACAGAGCAAAGCTCCATCTCAAAAAAATAAAATTAAAATAAAAAGAATAAAACCAGTAAGCCCTAAATTGTCAACCTCAAAATTAGATCTTATTTATAGTTTCAACTATTATTTAATTCTCAATTGTGGTGTTCAGTATAATGTTTAAAAAAGTGTATATTTTTAAAAAACTTTTTAACTTTTTAAAATTACATGTATATATAAATTTAACATAGACAAGATTACTAATTTGAAAGAAAATGGTTTTTTCTTCTGTAGACATTATCTTGTCTGACTTCTATATCAAGGGTGAAACAAATGACATTTACATACTGTCATAGCTAAATTTTGTTCAGATATAAATTAAGAAAGAAAGGCAATTTAATAGAAGAGAATTTGATTTGTACAAACAATCTAACATATTGTCACACTGTGGAAGAAACATTTTATAATAATCTTATTTTTGTAAATTACCCCTTTGGAAAAAAAAAAAAAAGAAGCTTAACCCACCTGAGTAAGTTTCATATATTTACTAGCAGGGAAAATATAATATTTAAAATAATCTCACTTTTTAAGGACATTTTAGTGGCATGAAATGTCATCTTCTTTCCATGCATTTTTGAAACTAAACATTTTTATCTGTGGGCTTCTTCTTTGCGGCAATTCAGTATAAAAAAAAATTCCAATGCGAACTGAAACCTGAGACATTTGCTCATCTTACTGTCTATATTAGCATGACCTTTCTCTTTGGTTGTCTGCATCAACATGGCTTTACTATTTCAAGAAACTCTTACATAGAAACCTACACATATTAGTTATAATTATTAGCAATAATATCTATATTATATCTATATTATAATTATTATAATTATAACAAATTATATTATATATATATTTATATATAAAAATATAAAAAATAAAAATAATATAAAAATAAATATAAAATATATGTTATATTATAACAAATAATATCTATATTATAATTATTAGCAATAATATAGATATTATTGCTATCTAATAATAACACAAACTTAACTACTCAAAAATAAAAAAAAAAAAACACTAATCAC
Source organism: Homo sapiens (assembly GCF_000001405.40). Taxonomy (NCBI): domain Eukaryota; kingdom Metazoa; phylum Chordata; class Mammalia; order Primates; family Hominidae; genus Homo; species Homo sapiens. The sequence goes on from NC_000005.10 coordinate 25,514,868, forward strand.
ACAACTCAGAATTGGAGATAGATGATTGGTTTGTTGTCTCACAGTTTCATAGGCCAGAAGTCTGGCCTGGCTTGAATGCTCATGTTTTAAAGTATTGCAAGGCTGAAATCAAAGTGCTGTCCAGGTGGAACTTTTGTCTGGAGACTTTGGCAAAGACTATGCCTCCAAGGTCACTCAGGTTGTTAATTAGAATTCTGCAGCATACAGTTGTAGAACTGAAGCCACCATTTCCTTCCTGGCTATTGGCTGGGGCCTGCTCTCAGCTTCTAGGCTCCCTTATTCCCTGCTGCAGGCTCCCTTCCATCTTCAAGCCAGCAATAGTACTTAAGAATCCTTCTAATGCTTCAAATCTATCGTATGTCCCTTTCTATCATGAATTAGAGAAAACTCGCCTTTTAAATGGCTCATTTGGCTAGATTGGGCCCACATGGATATTCTCTCTTTTGAATAAGTCAAAATCAACTGATTGGTAGCCTTAATTACATATGCCACATCCCTTTGTCATGTAACGTAACAATCGTGGGTTTCATATTTCATCATATAAACAAGTGGCTCAGAACTTTTTTGGCACCAGGAAGGTTTCCTAAAAGAAAATTTTTCCACAGAAGGGAGTGCTGGGGCTGAGGATGGTTTCTGGATGAAACTGTTCCAAAGAAGGTGGTGCTGGGGCTGAGGATGGTTTCTGGATGAAACTGTTCCACCTCAGATCATCAGGCATTAGTTAGATTCTCATAAGGAGCACACAACCTAGATCCCTTGCGTGCAGAGTTCACAACAGGGTTTGGGCTCCTATGAGAATCTAATACCCCACTGATCTGACAGGAGGCGGAGCTCAGGTAGTAATGTAAACAATGGGGAGTGGCTGTAAACACAGAGGAAGCTTCACTGGCTCTCCTACCACTCATCTCCTGTTGGGCTGCTTAGTTCTCAACAGGCCACAGACTGGTACTGGACTGTGACTTGGGGACTGCAGACTTGACTTATAAACAGTATTGCATGGATTTTGGTAGAAAAGCATAAGGGTAGCATTTTAGAGCTCTTTCTATCACAATTCAAATCAGAAATACAGTTTTCATTCATTTTAAAAGCTTTCATAAAACCTAACATCCAGTATAAGATGTCACTAAGATTCACACTAAGATTGGAACAATCTTTGGAACAGTAGTCAAGAAATGGGAGGATTATCCTGTGGGATTATCCTGAGGACAGCTTTACAAACAAAACATGCACTGATGTGGTGGAGAGAAACACTTGGGAGCTTTTCTTGTAGAACACTGAATGATTAATAAGCCAAAGGTTTCATGAGGAAATGAAAAAGAGCTTCCTTTTGAGGGAAGGTAGAATTTTGCTGTGCACAATTGGCAGCAGTAGGCAGCAGTAAAGGCCAGGATTATACACAGCAGAACAGAGGGGCAAAGCAGGCAGCACCAGCACAGACCAGCAAAGCAGAGAACATCTGCTAGCCAGGACGCCAAGATAAATTAAACTAATCAAGAGATGACTCAACAGTTGGAGATTTATGAGGACACTGTTTACTACATCAGTGCTTGGGTGACCAGCATATGCCCTTGAGTGAAAAGAAGGGACAGATGAAGTGGGAAGAAACAATGAAAGACTGCCTGTATCCCCCGAAGTGATTAAACTATGAATTGGACAATAATGACAATATTAATCAAATCACTAGATCTGACTGAGTATACTGAATTGAAATAAAATAAAATTTTTGCTTAGGCAAATTGGGGAAATAAATTAAAATGTAAGCTTGTGTGCAGAAAATAATGAAAATTTGCTTTTATCTACATGTGAATCCCAGCATCTAAATTTGATTCTACTTCAGTTTCAAGAGATACAGTAAACACATGAGAGGTAGAAAACTATTGTATCAATTTGTGGGTTCAATGGGCTCTGAGGGTCCTGCCATCACACTTGTTTTTTATATCCATTGCATCATTGCAGTGACACAACATCTGCCCTCTGAAATGTAGAAAATAAAGAAAAATTCCAAATAAGCACTCCTCAATGAGCAAGTATATAGATGTATCATCTTTAACATTAGCGACTCCCATATATTTTCTGTGTGTGTGCATGTGTGATTTACCATTTCTGGAAAACTACAGATATGATTCAAAATAGTCCTGGGTCACTTGTTAATTGGTCAACTTGAAATGTCATGAGATTCTCATTCTAATCACCTGTAAGGGATGGAAAAGGTGGCGAGGTCAGTCACTGACTTGGCTTAAAAAAAAAAAAAACAGAAACAGCATGTGGACAAAAACTGCTCTTACAACTTTGGTGAGTTCAGAACCACAAGCAAAGAGAGGTGTTATAGTTAATTTATCTTCCCTTCAAAGAAGAGAGGAATCTGTGGGAAAAATACACCTCAGTTATTTATTTCTTGCTGAGACATATTGTTGAAATCTCATTGAAAGAGCTTGAATACACTAATTCATATCGTTTCATCCTTTTCAAAAGCCCTACAATAGATAGAGACCAAAGGTGGTGGGGATTTCATTTCAATATATCAAAATTCTCACTATTTATTACTGTATTTTCCAATCCTTTTTATTACGTCCTTCTTTTCTTTTTAAAATCATACTCAACTTTTCAGTTTCCACTGGCTGTTTCATATTATTCTAACAAAAGGACTTTTGAGAGTAAGTGAGGCTTTTGTGTTGTTGATAGCCACACTCATTCTGTGATATTCCCCAATCTCCCTAGGACTGTGTCAGAACACCAGACACTAAAAGTCTTACTCAATGAAAAAAAAAATGCGATGCAACAAACTGAGATATTTAATTATCATAATAGTTCATATACATGTAGTATTTTATATTATCTTACTATGTTTATACACTGCCACAAAATTATTAAAATGATTTAAAATTAATATTTTTCTAGGCTCTAGGGAAACAAAAATGAACTCGAAATTTCTGACTCAAAATAGCTCCAACTCTAATGGGTGAGACAGAGAGAAGACCAAGTATCTACAAGAAATTCTCATAACACACAGACTTACGAGAGTCTGCAGGAGAGATTTCTATTCCAGTTTGGCTGCCTGATTTAGAATCTCTTAGTACGTGCTTCAGCTTCAGGGATAAATCCTAAAGAAAGAATGAAAGTTTTCACAGTAAACAAGATAAGGGGCAAATTTCTCAGATCTCACAAGGGAGAGAACATGGAAGGCCAGTAACGATGTAGTGTAAGAAGTTTGCTCCATTTGTCTACTAAGCACAATTTTAGAATGGATGTGAAGTAAGAGAGAGAGAGGAAGGAGTAAATCATAGAGGATCTTGTCATATTATAAGACCTACATCATGTTATTTTAAAGGTGATAAGAAGCTTCACAGAAGGTTTATAAGAAGAAGAGCAACATAATCTATTTATTATTACACAGCATAGGGGAGCAATATAGGATGGATAATGACTAAATTAACTACTTCTAGACTCTTGAAATGGGTTGCGTATTTTCAAATCTCTGCCCTGACACATGTGAGCTATATGTACCTGGGAAACTAAGTATCTCTGTGCCTCAATTTCTTCATCTCTAACATAGGATTGGGTAGGGGAATGATAAAATAACAACAACAACAAAAATAAACAAATACAGGATTGCTATGTGAATTAAATTTGGTTAATATAGAGTGCTTAGAACAATGTTTGTGTGAAAGGACAACAAAATCTTGGGACCCCAAACTCAATATGCCAAAAGGAAAAGTTATGCTTGGAAATGGAGTCACAGAAAACCTGCCTTTCCCTTTTGTTCCTATACATACATCTTACTAGGTGATCTCCCTCATCCTGACAATGTAGATGAATTGTTTATCTTCATAGGTATGGGACAAGAGGAGACTAAAAATCACCCCTCTGCTCACCCTGAGACGAATGCGTATTTGACTTCTTCCTCAACTCTGTGTTTACATTATGTTAAGTAAAGTCCAGATTTACTGAGCGTGAGATGAATACATAATTGACTATTCCTCTGCCCCATCTTTTCACCACAACATGTAGATTCAGTGAGTACTAATCAAGGCCTCAAATGAATATAACTACTTGCCCCATTTGTCTACTCTGCCTTTTTCTTCTTTTTGCCCCCTCCGCCAACTTTTTCCCTTTTAAATACTGAAGCCCGCAAAACCCTCTTTGGAGAAGAGCTCAGGCCACAGATCATACTGTGGCACATGTCTCCTTTACGTGGGTGTGTCCTCAACATTGGAAAAATAAACCTCTAATGTGATTGAGAGCTGCTTCAAATACTTTTTTCTTTTACAGCTGAAATGCTTGAAAAATAATAATAGTTAAAACTAGTCTCAGTGTTGTTGCTAGAAGGTGTAATAATAAGGAATGCAGAAAGCATATATTAGAATATTGTATTTTTTTAAGAAACATAGTGTTGAATCTCTGAGATTGATTATTTGGTTAGAGAAAAAAAGATGAGCTTAAAAACACAAGGATGTTGGCTGAGCGCAGTGGCTCACACCTGTAATCCCAACACTTTGGGAGGCCGAAGTGGGCAGATCACCTGAGGTCTGGAGTTGCAGACCAGCCTGAGCAACATGGAGAAACCCTGTCTCTACTAAAAATGCAAAATTAGCCAGACATGGTGGCACATACCTGTAATCCCAGCTACTCAGGAGGCTAAGGCAGGAGAATCACTTGATCCTGGGAGGCAGAGGTTGCGGTGAACCAAGATGGCAACATTGCACTCCAGCCTGGGCAACAAGAGAAAAACTCCATCTCAAAAAAATAAATAAATAAAATAAAATAAAATAAAACAAAACACAAAGATGCCAAATTAGTATAAGATGGTAATTGTTGCAAGTCAAATTTGTTTCTCAGTTATCTAGTTCTGTTGATTGGTGTGCTACAATTTCACACAATAAACACAAGAGTGACAGATTTTTAAGAAGAAGGTTAAAAGAATTTTTGTTTGGAAAAAAAATTGGGTTTTTCTATGGTACTGGCAGATAGTAATGCTTACGCAACAACTGGATTCGTGAAAGATTTAGAAGTTTCTCTTATAGTTGTGAATCAGACTTTCTTTAATTTATCTTGTAATAATTTCACGTTGTAATTGTGCTGGTAAGAAGGGATAAACGAAGAGGTATTTTTTAATGTGTTACTAAAATTTGCCTCATTAGGCAATAAATAAACATTAGTTCACTATTTCTTACTGTATGTAATAAAAAATAATGCACTGCTTTTGTTTAAACAATACTGTGGGTAATGGAGTAGAGGAGGAGGATAACACTGTCAGAAAATTAAAATATCATCCTGGGGTAAGACTATTATGGTGTGCATTTTGCTTACACAGATGATTTACTGATATCCTGGGATTAGTATCCATTGTTACCATATTAGTTTTAATTGCAAAGCGATGAATACCAAACCTTCAAATTTTTAACATTTAAATTTAAAAAAAATTCTTGCACATGTATCTATGAGTCAGCTCTGTTTCTGCTGGCTTGCCAAGGCTTGCTTCCATGCTGAAATTTGGGTTCAGATTTATTCCTCAATTTTCCTCATTCTGCAACCAATGTCTCTGTTTCTCTCATGGTGGATTAGAGAAAAACACAAAAAAGCAAACCAAAGCTTACAGTAACATGTACAATATCTGCTCTCATCATATCATGTGGCAAAACGACTCACTGAGCTAAACCAAACATCAAAGTAGCAGGGAAATATATTCTATCATCTGTTTCTGGCATTGGAAAAGTCACATGGAAAAGCATATGGAGACGTATATGCAGAGAGAGAGAGAGAGAGAGAGAGAGAGAGGATAGATAGATAATAGATAGATATACTTCTATTATCAGAAATAAAGGATTGGCCATAATCTATTCTGTAACAACCTTAGTTTTTTTGTGTGTGTGAACAAGCAAATAAATTGGAAGTAAACTTTACTGAAAATTATTTAAACTTGTTTCTTTAAAGCTGTCTGACAATCCCATGAGAGAAAGTATTAATATTTTCTCCACTGTTAATTCCTCTAACTCACTCACCAGCTGAATGGTACAATTTGTAAATTCAACCCAGATAAATTTATGATTCTTCCTTACAGATTGTGTACAGTGAAAAGAGCCATTTCAGGAGCTCCAACATGTAAATGGTAGATGGAATAAGAGAAGATCACAGAGACTAAACAGGACAGGCCAGAGAGAGAGACACCGCAGAATAGAGTGGAAGACAAGAGAGAGCTCAAGAAGAGAGGGGAAAAATATCAATTAAAGTTGAGAATAAGAGGGTGACGAAGACTGACACATATCTCTTAGATGTGACAACTAGCAGTTCATTAATGACCTAGGCAATTAGGTTAATAAAAATTATTATTCACTTTATAGTTTCCGATTTTAAATAAATAGCAAAATTTAGAAGGTTTTACCAGCCTGAGGTAATTAAAAATGGATTATACAAATTAATTTTCTTGATAGCCTAGGATGATAGGAGTGCTTTTGAAAACATAATTCAATCCCTTAGTTTATGCTTATGACCAGAAAAAAACAATAGTTTTAATATTTTTAAAGATTAAGTTAGAGATCAATAGCTTCCATAAGATGTTTAGTGGTTTCAAACTTCATAAAGAAATGCCCTACATGCTGATTATAATCACTGACCTCATATTTCTACAGATAAAAATAAACCAAAGTAACATACTTCTAATGTAAAACTTTCTATACTTCACTCCAAATATAATTGTTTTTCAGACAATGCTTCAGTATTGTTGCTTTTTATAACTTTAGAAACATCTGATATATTTTAAAACATATGATGCATAAGAATAATTTATAAACAATGTGTTCTCGTTTTGTTCTTTGCTTAGGTTTATTTATAAGATTAATTAGTTTTATATAAAACATGTAACTTATTTAGTGAACTGTTTAATTTATTTCTTCTCATGTGTTCTGTTTCCAAGCTTACATTTTTAAGGATATAATGTCATTACCAGGAATTGGTGAACTTTGGTTTATAATTGATTTTAAATCCTGAAAAATAGATAATTATATTAATGCCAAATATGTGTGTGTGTATGGACATGTGTTATTACGTAAATGACAGCTTGTTGTAATCACATTGCCTTTAGTCACAAGCAAAGAAAGTAGGGATAATTTCCCATTAGCAATTTTGGAACACAAACATAAATCTTGATAAAAATATTATTTTAAATTTAGACTACATAGAAAATAATTGAGATAAGAGATACCTATTGTGAAAAACAAATGTACGTATTTTAGCATCTCTAAATATTTGCTGGATGTAATTTAGTCATCCAGAGAGTACCTCAAAAGTATTGTTGCACATGTTTGCTTTATAGTCAATAAGAGAGAATAACACATACTAAGCAAAAGCTTTAAAAACACTGATACGATGCTAATATATTCTTACATTTTTTCTCACTTCAAAAAACCTCCGTATATAGTATATGCACTTCTACCAGAGACATGGAATAAAAATTTTCTCAACCAAATCTTCAACAGTTCTCATGTCATTGAACTAACATACGCTTAAAACTTTGCTTTTTCTTTTTTTAAAAAAATATTTACAAGAGTTGTTGAGCCTTCTTTCAGAATGAAACATTATACTGGCTTTTCCCTTACTGTGCTGATTTGTGGTTATTTTCATCAAAGGTGTTTAATCAACATATGGCCACTATGCTTTTGTTCTTTATACTGAATATGAGTCAGTCGATATAATGATATTCACTGAAAATGATACAGAAACATAATTGTTCCAGAAGCTGTGGTTACATAACTAATTACTCCAAAACTTAGTGGCATAAAATAACCCTTTACAATGCTTATGGAGTCTGTCGACCAGGAATTCACATAGTGCTCAGCTTATTTTACTTCTCCAAGGGATAGTACCTCACCTGAAAGCCTAAAGTCTAGGGAATTTGAAAACTCACATACTCACTTGGCTAGGAGTTGATCCTAGACCTTGGCTAAGACCTTAGCTGGGATGGTCACTGGAACACCTACAAGGAGTCTAACCATGTGACTAGGATTTCTTCATTACATAGAAGCTAGGTTACTTGGTTGAGGGTGAGAGAGAGAGAGAGACAGAGAGAGAGAATCTCTTTTTAGTGGCATAGCCTCAGAATGTTATGATCTCATAGCCTCAGAATGTTTCAGATCTCTGAAAAATATCACTTCTGTCATACATATTGTACAGAACAGTCAAAATCCTCCTTCCTTCAAATCCAAGGAAACAAAATTGATTCTAACATTTGACAAAAATGGATAGGTTTGGAAATGTATATGGAAATAGAGATATTGCTGTGGGAACTTTTGGAAAACAATCCGCCTCAATATTGAAAAATCAAATGTGGTAATCTTAGAGATGTTGGTCTAGGGGTACTTATTTATGTTTTAATTTTTATTCTTTTCTTTGTGACACATTTTAAATAATAATCATATATTTCTCCATTAAAATAATTGAAATAAATAATATGGGTGTATACCAGGAAAATCATCAGCATCACACATTTCTTATACAGATTAGAGAAAATATAAAACTATGTTTTATCCCTTTAGCTATTCATATAGTTTATATATATAGCAGGCATGAGAGTTAACCATTTTATCCTGAATGTCCTTTATTTAACAAGAAGAAAGTATAGTAATTGTAGGCTACATTTAAAGATATCTATCAATTTTAAGATTAAGTAGTTGTGAGACCACATTGTGGAATAGAATAATAAAATGGTGATCAATGCTGTGATAACCGATTAATAACAATAAATTTAGAAAATATTATTCCTGCTTTTCAAATTTTCCTTTGTTGCTAAAGTATCAGTATTCATTTCCTAAGGGGTTTCATAACAAATTACTACAAATCTTGGCTTGTAGATACATCACTTTGTCTCTTGTAAGGATACTTGTCATTGAACTTAGGGTCCACCTAAATTATCCTAGGATGATGTTCTCTTGAGTCGCTTATTTTAAATACATCTGGAAAGACTGTTTTTCTAAATAACATTTTCTAAATAACGTTTCTAGTTGTAGGTGTGCATATCTTTGAGGGGACAATCATTAAACTCAATACAGTATCAATGGTTATATTTCTCCAAATATATAAAGAAGTTATTAGTATACAAATTGAAGTCTTTTTAGCTGCTTAATTTTCAGTGGCTATTTTTTTCCCAAAGTTATCAGCATTGTGCTGCTAGTCATCAGTAATTCACATACTTTACAAATACAGGAAATTATTTTTGATGCTGAATTAGCAATGAATTAATGTTACCATAGATCTCTTGTAATATTTTATAAAGTTATAAATAACACTCTTTGCTTATTCAACTAGTTGGTTTAAAATTCAGTCCACATGTGAACCAGCAGATTAAGATATCTCCCTGTTCACCAAGATATATCCTCCCCAGGAAAACAAAAGGAAAAGAACAAAGAAAAATATGGACTATATAATTTTTTTAAACTCTTGACTATCTACATGGCCTGTAATCATTCAGTTTATTCTTAAGTATAGGTAATAAGTAACAGATAAATTAAATAGATTATAATACCAGAAGTCTAATGTAACCAATTAATTTTTATTATTAATTTTTTATTGATGTGTGCTTGTTGCTGACTTTCAACTTTTCCCAGATAGCCTCATGTATATTACTTTTAAAAAGCCTGATTTTTACATGTTCAAATAAGGTATAAAAAGTTATCTATTACATGTATGTACAAATTTTCACAATCTTTTTCTGACATCATTCCTGTCTAACATTATGATTGAATATAACTTCATGACGTTTGAAAATACATTATATACAATCTACATATTATAAAATCTAAGATGTTTATTTCCAAGAAAATATTACTTTCTGGATTAATTCATGTTACATAGCGACTGTAAATTTTTGATACTCTTTGTAGATGCTTAGGCTTAAAAATATTTTCAAAATTTGTAGATAGTACAAGAGAGCAAAGTTTATTTGTCATATTTTTGCTTGAAAGTTATTGAAAGTATTCTTCACTTTAATATATGTGTACAGATTCCTGTTGTGACACTTGGTGAATAAATATAAAAGAATATAGAATTCAACACTGATACAGAGAAATAATTTAGATTTTAGAAACTCTGTGAATGAATTGTGTGTTATAAAACAACTGTTAGGGTGTTGAATTGATGAGGACGGTTAGGTCTAATTTCATAGACATGAGAATTTGTAGCTTGAAGAGAACTTCGTAAATTATGAACCTAAGGCAGATAAAAGTTAAATAACTAGCTCAAGCCAGTTTTAGGGCAAGTGAGAGAATATTTTGACTTCCAGCCTATTTTCTTTATATTGTATCATTACATTTAAGAAAATGACTTCAAATTGTGCCCCATATTAATGGCTTCACACTTTAGTTACAGACAAATTATTCAACAATAATTAAATATTATTGTTATCTGAAATTCCATTTGTGCATCATAATGTCTTTGAAACTTCTTTACATTTTTTAACAAAGAAAATATCTTATTTAAGCCAAAGTTAAAATAACTATTAACTAAGTTAAAAAAATGTAAAATATTATGCAAAATTAAGAGTTTAACTTAAATTGACATATGTAAATTTGAAAAAATAATCTTTTAACTTGAATAGTCTATTTTATGAGTCTGCAACACAAGTAGGTATCATAAAACTAATTGTTTTAAAATTTGAAAAAGTTTATGCTTTTATTAGGTTCATAGTGTTATAATGTAATAACTGCTATTTTAATATTTCATAACCTAATTAAATGTGTAGTGTTTATGAATCTGGCTTTCACTGAAACTTTTTCATTGGATTTTAACTAAAACTATCTTCTATTAACAAAAGGACTGGAAATAGCAATCTTAAAATTGGTCTGCTTTCAAGTAAATTTAATGCTTGAGATATCATATACTGTGTCCATGAATACTTTTTGAAAATTTTGTACATTCAAATAATTATTTATTCTTCTCTCCCTCTCCCTGTTTTCCCACTACACTTCTCAGCCTCTTAGCTTAAGTTCTGGAAGGTATCCCTTCTTACTAGGTAGTCCTGCTCTCAGAATCATGAGGGCACTCTCTCAATGCTAACCACTGCTCTTTGTGTATCCTGTAAGGAAAACAAATGACCAATGTACATTCTTCCCCAGAAATCTCAAAGTACATCATTCAAATAAATATAATGTCTTTCCCCACCCACCACAGTTTCTGTTATTTTCTGTTCAATTTTTCTTACTCATTTTTAAAATCAGACACATAGTTTCAAAATTGTCAGATTTATTAAATATATTTAAAGTAGTTAATTTTACCATAAAGTTCTACCTCAATGAAATAAAATTATGGAAGACAATATGGAAGGTCCTCAAAACAATAAAAAATAGTTCTCCCAAAAGATCTAGCAATCTCATTTCTGGGTATACCTCTAAAATGATTGAAATCAGGTTTTCAAAGAGATATCTGCACTTCCATGTTCATTGAAGAATTATTTATAATAGCCAAGATATAGAAACAACTCAAATTCCATCAACAGATGAATGACTAAAAAGTTGTGGCATACACATACAATAAAATATTATTCAGTCCTAAAAAAGGAAATCCTACCATTATTTGCAACAACATAGATAAACCTGAAAGAAGTTGTGCTCAGTGAAATAAATCAGTCACAGAAGGACATAGAGCACATGATTTATATGAGGCATATCAAATAGCCAAAGGTATGGAAGTAGACTGTAGAGTGTTGATTACCAGGGAATGGGAGAGAGGGCTATTGGAAATTGTTTAATTGATATAAAGCTACAGTTATACAATATGAGTAAGTTGTCCTATGCAACATGATTCCTATAGTAAATAATAACGTACTTACTTAAGTACTTAAGCACTTTTTAAGAGGGCAGATCTCATTTTAGGTGTTCTCACCACAAAAACAAACAAAGCCAAAGGGACACACAAAAGCTTTTGGAGGTGATAGATATGTTTACTATCTGGATTGTGATGATAGTAACATGAGTTTATACATACATTCAAACTCATCAAATTGTATGCATTAATTATGTGAATTTTTAATACCATTATACCTTAATAAAGGTGTGGGGGAAAAGAAATCATAGGAAGTCAGACAGACAATGTTGATCTCTGAAAAATAAATAGTGAGATTAATAAAAATAGACAGTAATAAAAATTATTCGAGGAGTTGTAAATCATTTTACTAGCTTTAGATTTCATTATGTGAGCATTTGCAACCATTTGGAGTATTTTTTATACAGTAAGTAAAATAGCCTAATATACATTTTAAGAAAATCACTTTTCTTATTTGTTGAGAAATAGACTGAAAGAGGAGGAATTGAAATAGGAGACAAAGCATCATGGATCTAATATATTTGTATTATCTTAAAGGCAGTGATGTGTGGTAAAGGTTGAACTACCAGACATGTGAGGAAAACCGAGAAAGAGAGAGAGAAAGGAAGAAAGGAGGAAAGGAAAAAAGAAGGAAGGAAGGAAGAGAGGGAAGGAGAAAGGAAGGGAGGAAGAGGGGAGGAGGGAGTGGGGGAGAGAGTGGAAGTAGGGAGCAGGGAAAGAAGGCAGGAAGGAAGGAAAGAAGGAAGGAAGGAAGGAAAGATGGAAGGAAGGAAGGAAGGAAAGAAGGAAGGAAGGCAGGCAGGCAGGCCCCTGTTTTGTACCTATGACAATTTCCTTGGGTAAATACTTCTGCTATTGTAAATTTTCAGATACCAAAGTTATGTCAACTAGCCCACAAAATTCAAAATATTTAAGAATTGAATTTTATAGTTCTGTATGAGTATATATGAGCCCACCAATCTCTGGGGAAGAGACTGATTTTTTAAAATTTAGACATGATCTAATAAGTCATGGGAAAATGTTAATGGTTACTGAAAAATATGCATCTGGAGAGTATAATTTTAACTTCCTTAAAACAAGGAAGAAATCAAAAGGTAGTGTATAATTTCTAGGTCAATTTGTTGATAACAAACTTACCATAAATGTAAAATCTGTGTCTCACCAGCAAAGTTATATGTTCACTTCTGATATTTTTTCATGATAAAACTTACATGGAAATAGAAGTGCCAAGAAGAGCAAAGGATGTCTTGAATAAAACAGTATATGTGGGATGACTTGTTCTACAGATATCAAGTCACATATTTAACAAGATTTTTGCAGTATAATTTAGATAGAAGGAATGTACATTTTAAGGTTACAGTTTAATGAATTGTGGCAAATGAATACTATTACCTTGAACCAAAACACTTATTAAGAAATAGAACATTTATATCACCCTAGAAAATTCTTAGCTTTCCTTGTCAATCAGTTCCTTACAAATCTGTCCCTGGTAACAACTGCTATGACTTGTAATACTATGTAAGTATTGCAAAGATTATTTTTCAGCCTGCGGCTTGCGGTTTGATTATGTTAATAGATTTTTAAGAGTAATTTTCATTTGGTAAAGTTTAACATATGATTTTTACTGTCATTTTTTTTCAGGCAGGGTCTCATTGTGCTTCCCAGGCTAGAGTGAGTGCAGTCATGTGATCTCTGCTCATTGCAACTGCAACCCTCCAGGCTCTAGTGGTCCTCCCACTAGAGTAGCTGGGACTGCAGGTGCTCACCACCAAGCCTGGCTAATTTTGCTTATTTTTTCTTTTTTGTAGAGACCAGGTCTTACTATGTTGCCCAGGCTGGTCTCTAACTCCTGAACTCAAGTCATCCTCTTGCCTTGGCCTCCCAAAGTCTGGGATTACAGGCATGAGACACTGTGCCCAACAAATATGTCATATTTTTAAATGTTATGATTAGTGAGTTTGTGTGTTCTTTCAAGGAATCTGTTTCTACTCAAGATTCTATTAATAAAATTTTTGTGTTACTCTTTAGAAATTGTACAGATGTTACCTTTGGGCCTATGATCCATTAAAATTCGTTTGTTTATATGGTGTTAGAGTTGGGATTGGTATTCTATGTTTTCATTATATATAATGAGATGGGCTAGGGCCATTTGTTTAACAAATTAGTCATTTTCTATTGAAGTACATTGCATCTTTGCCATACATCAGCTGACCAGATATACCTCTATTTTGGACTTTTTTAATTCCTTTCGTTTGTCTGTATTTACATAAATGTCACACTGAGTTCATAACAGTAGCTTTTCAGTAAGTACTGCTACAACTGGGTATAATTTCTTCAAGTTTGTCATTTTCAAAATAGTTTAGGCTATTTTGGGTTCTTTGCTTTTCCAAATAAATTTTAGAATTAGCTTTTTATTTCTAAAAGTCAACAAACAGAATCTCAGTTGGAATTTGATTTGGATTTTATTCAATTTGTTGATAAAATTTAAAATGGATGTCTTAACAATACTGAGTCTATCAATTCATGAACATAGGCCATCTCTCAATTTATTTATATGTCCTTGAATTTCTCTAATTTTTGTAATGCTTTAATATAGAGTCTTAGACCATATTTCACAGAATGTATTTATTTAAGGGTATTTCATATGGCTTGGCTGTGTCCCCACCCAAATCTCATCTTGAATTGTAGCCCTCATAATTCCTGTGCATTGTGAGAGTGACCCAGTGGGAGATAATTGAACCATGGGGGCAGTTTCCTCCATACTCTACTCATGGTAGTGAATAAGTCTCACAAGATCTGGTGTTTTTATAAGGGGAAAGCCCTTTCACTTGGCTCTCATTCTCTCTCTTCCCTGCTGCCAATGTAAGATGTGACTTGCTTCTCCTTGCCTTCTGTCATGATTGTGAGGCCTCCTCAGCCACATGGAACTCTAAGTCCATTAAAGCTCTTTTTCTTTATTAATGACCCAGAATTGGGCATATTTTTATTAGCAGCATGAAAATGGACAAATACAGTAAATTGGTCCTGGGAGTGGGGCGCTGCTGTAAAGATACCAAAAAATGTGGAAGCAACTTTGGAACGGGGTAACAGGAAGAGTTTGGAACAGGCTGGAGGGCTTCGAAGAAGACGGGAAAATGTGGGAAAGTTTGGAACTTCCTAGAGACTTGTTGAATGGCTTTGAGTAAAATGCTGATCATGATGTAGACAATGAAATCCAAACTGAGGTGGTCTCAGATGGAGATGAGAAACTTGTTGGGAACCACAGTAAAAGTGTCTCTTCTTATGTTTTAGCAAAGAGGCCAATGGCATTTTGCCCCAGACCTAGAGATCTGTAGAACTTTTAACTTGAGATGATTTAGGGTATTTGGTGGAAGAAATTTCTAAGCAGCAAAGCAATCAAGAGGTGACTTGAGTGCTGATAAAAGTTTCAGTTTTAAAAGAGAAACAGAGCATAAAAGTTTGGAAAATTTTTAGCCTGACAATGTGATAGAAAAGCAAAACCCATTTTTTGAGGAGGAATTTAAGCCAGCTGCAGAAATTTACATAAGTAATGAGGATCCAAATGTTAGTCACCAAGACTATGGGGAAAATGTCTCCAGGGCACTTCAGAGAACTTTACAGCAACCCCTCCCATCACAGGCGAAGAGGCCTAGGAGGAAAAAAATTGTTTGATGGGCCCCTCTGCTGTGTGCAGCCGAGGAACTTGGTGCCCTGCATCCCAGCTGCTCTAGCCATGGCTAAAATAGGCAAAGGCACAGCTCAGGCTATTGCTTCAGAGGGTGCAAGCCCCAAGCCTTGGCAGTTTTCATGTGGTGTTGAGCCTGCAGGTGTACTGGAATCAAGAATTGAGGTTTGGGAACCTCCGCCTAGATTTCAGAGGATGTATGGAAATGCCTGGATGTGCAGGCAAAAGTTTGCTGCAGGGGCAGGGCCTTCATGGAGAACTTCTGCTAGGGTAGTGCAGAAGGGAAATGTGGGGTTGAAGACCCCACAGAGAGTCCCCACTGGGGCACAGCCTAGTGGAGCTGTGAGAAGAGAGCCACCATCCTCTAGGCCTTAGAATGGTAGATCCACCTACAGCTTACACTGTGAACCTGGAAAAGCCACAGACACTTAATGGCAGCCCATGAATGGAGCTGGGAAGGAGGCTGTATCCTGCAAAGCCACTGGGGTGTAGCTGCTCAAGACCATGGGAACCCACCTCTCGTATCCGTGTGACCTGGATGTGAGATGTGGAGTGAAAGAGTATCATTTTGGAGCTTTAAGATCTGACTGCCCCCTCCCTGGATTTCAGACTTGCTTGGGGCATTTAGCCCCTTTGGCCCATTTCTCCCATTTGGAATGGGTGTATTTATCAAATACCTTTACCCCATTGTATCTAGGCAGTAACTAACTTGCTCTTGGTTTTACAGTCTAATAGGCCGAAGGGACTTGCCTTGTCATGGATGAGACTTTGGACTGTTGACTTTTGAGTTAATGCTGAAATGAAATAAGACATTGAAGGACTGTTGAGAAGGCATGACTGGTTGTGAAATGTGAGGACATGAGATTTGGGAGAGGCCAGGGGCGAAATGATACAGTTTGGCTGTGTCCCCACCCAAATCTCATCTTGAGCTGTGGCTCCCATAATACTTGTTGTGGGAATGACCCAGTGGGAGATAATTGAAACGTTGAGGCGTTGCTCCCCATGATGTTCTCATGGTACTGAATAAGTCTCACAAGATCTGATGGTTTCCGAAAGAGGAAACCCGTTTCAGTTGGCTCTCATTCACTCTCTTCCCTGCCATCACGTAAGATGCGACTTGCTTCTCCTTGTCCTCTACCATGATTGTGAGGCCTCCTCAGCCACATGGAACTGTGAGTCCATTAAACCTCTTTTTCCTTATAAATTACCCAGTCTCTCATATGTCTTTATTGGCAGTGTGAAAACGGACTAATACATATACTTCAGTAATATTTTCTCATCGTTTGTTGCTATTATATGTAGAATTGATTATGTGTACTAACTTTGGACCCATGTCCCTGTAAAATTAATTTGCTATTTGAGTAGATAGCTGTAGATTGCTTGGGATATTCTACATAGACAATCATATCTTCTGCAAAAAGCAAAGGATTATTGTTATTTTTATTTTGCTAAATGTATACCTATAATTTAGTTCTTGCATTATTTAATCTGTTAGTAATATCAGTAAAATATTGAATAGAAGTGGTGAGAACAGAAATCCTTGCCTTTAACCAATTGATCATAGAGGGAAAGCATTTAGCTTTTCACTATTAATAATGCTGTGAGTTATAGCATTTACATAGATAATCTTTATTAGGTTGAGAAAGTTCTTTAATTCATAAACTCCTGACAAGTTTTATAATGAATAGGTATTGAATTTTGCCAAATACCTTTTCTGCACCCATTTAGGTGATCACATGGGTTTTCTCTTTTTCATCTCTTTTCTGAAGTTATACCTTCAGAGATTTTGTATTGTTGACCTAATCTTGCATAACTGAAGTCCATTTAGCTATTATGTATTATCCTTTTGATATCTTCCAAGACTTGATTCACTAAATATTAAAAGAAGGTTTATGTGTGATAGTGTGATATACTTCTTAAAAATGTTTTTTTTGAAATGTCTTTATACAGTTTTAGTATCAGGAATGTGATAGCTTTATACAATGAATTGGGAAGCATATTGTCTCTTCTATTTATTTAAAGACAATCTGTAGATTAATTCTAATTTTTATTTTTATAATTCACCAGTAAATAATGTGAGGTGAAGTTCAAAGCCAGGTTTTTTATTACGGATTCAATTTCTATGCATTACCTTTTTGATATCTTCCAAGACTTGTTTCATTAAATATTAAAATAAGGTTTATGTTTAACAGTGTGATATACTTAAAAAAATTTTTTTTGCAATGTCTTTGTACAGTTTTGGTATCAGAAGTGTGACAGCTTTCTACAATGAATTGGGAAGCATATTTTCCTTTTTATTTGTTGAAAGATAATCTGTAGATTGATTTTTATTTTTGTAATACACCAGTGAAATAATGTGAGGTGAAGTTTGAAGGCAGGTTTTTGATTACAGATTCAATATCCTTAACATGTAAAATTTAAACCAAACATATTTGTTCATTTTGTTAACAAAGTAATTTACAAATATAACTGGTTAACACAAAATAATTTGTTTGGTGTCAGTTATGGACAACTGTTTATATTTGCCATGTACAAGGGATTTGCTCATTTTGCCTATGTTAATTCTTATTCTTCTCAGAACTATGAATTATTTAAAAGTGTTTTTTAATTTCCAAATATTTTGGTTCTTTTCTGTTTTCTTGATATTTACATTTATTTTAATGTTGTGTCAGATAATACACTGTGTATGATTTCAATCTTTGTGGTCTGTGACCCAGAATATTGTCTGTCTTCGTGAATATTTCGTGGTCATTTGGAAGTAATTAGGTTTTTCTACTGTTTGGTGGATAAGTTTTCTGTAAATATAAAATAGATCAAGTTAGTAAATAACATTCCCTAAATCCTCTACAACTCTACTGATTATCCCTATCTATCTATCTATCTATCTATCTATCTATCTATCTATCATCTCTATATCTATAAATATACACATATTTGGTCTAACTGGTTCTATAATTACTCAGGGAGTGAAACTAATGTCTCTGATCCCAGTAGTATTGAAAATTTATTTATCCTTTTTATTTTCTCAGTTTTTGCTCCATGAATTTTGAAGCACTATTTTTAGGTCTGTATATGTTTAAGACGTTATGGGTTCCACATGAATTGATTCTTTTAGCATATGAAATGCCCACTTTTATGTCAATGAAGATGAAAACTCTTTTTGTTAAAGTCCACTTTGTCTGATAACAATACAAGGTGTTTTATGCTTACTTTTTTATGGCATACAATTTTCCATATTTTCAATTTCACCTATTTGAATCATCATATTTAAAGTATATCTCTTGGAACCGTATGTAGTTGAATGTTTTCTTATTATCTTGGCTGAATGCATGATTTTCTCATATAATTTAAGTACAAATCCCATTTCAAATGTAGATATTGGAATGATATTTTATCAGATTATTAGCTATCATTGAATTGTTTATGATACCCATTATGTCACAGAAATTGTTACTTACTTTGTAATATAATTAATGTTTTTTGTCAACTGTAAAATTTGTACTTTTTAGATTTTTGCTTTAGAAGACGTTTGTCAATGAAAGATTACTAAAATAGCATATGTTTTTCTATTTGACCTATATGTTGCTTTGATATTTAAATTTTTATATTCACTTGAAGTATGCTTCATTTGTTGTCATATTTTCTCCAACTTTAATTTTTATAAACTCATTGGGTCAAGTATTATTCATATAATCTACTACAAAGGTAACTTCAGCCCCTTCTCATTTGTTGGTAACACTTCCAACATGTACAAACTTCTTATATACAGAAAGGTGTTTTTAGTTTGTTTTTCTAAACTCTTAGTACCAATTATTGTTAGGCTTATTTCAAGGAAAATATTTAAATGTTTTTAGTTGTATGCTATTACAGTGTGATTTATAGTGTGTTTCATTTGGGAAAAAACCAGTAATTTTTGAATTTTATGTGTTCACGTATTTATCATTAATTCATGAATTCCATTGAAATTCTACTGGAGAATTTGTTGTCTATAATACAGAACAAACTTTTCACTGTTAAATACACATGATAATGTTATATAAAATTCAAAGAATCTTAATGATACAGGTGGTTTTTACATTTTTTGTTAGAAAGATCATGCAAAAAAAAAAAACGCAAAAGTAATGTTTAAATCAAAATTCAGTGGGTTGATTTAATTCTCCCACTTATTCAAAGAACTTACCAAATCCAGATGGGAAAGATAACGCCAGTATATGCCAGAATAAACAAATAAAAATCTGGAAGCCAAATTGAATAATTGGTTTTTACTTCAGCTCTACCAGCTGTCTGGAAACTGATAACTCCAGCCACCTGCCTCATTATAATCACTACTATTCACAATTTGTACCAATATGTTAATGCAAAAGGGTTTTTATAAGACTACTTGTTTGGATTATTTTTAACTATCTTAAAGTATTTTTTGTTTAGTTGCCTTGATTGGCAATATACTGCAATTAAAACACCAAATAATATGTGCAAATATATCATTAATTCATCATTAAAATTTGAAAACATTGTATGATGATGTATTCTTTTACAAGGAGTATACATTAGGCAAGTAAAATACTAATTATTAATTGAAACATATTATGAAAAGCAGCATATGTTAAAATTGAGTGAACCAATAGATAATATCCATATTTATTTATTTCTATGTCTTTCTGAGTAATTGTACATAACTGAATTCAAATTAATCAGAAAAAGCTGCTACATTTCAGATATAAGAGTAATTTTCTAATGCCTTAATTTCAAATACTGTGCATCCGATTTGTTGGAACTGGTATAAATATTAGGTTGGTGCAAAAGTAATTGCGGTTTTGCCATCGCTTTCAATGGCAAAACCGCGATTACATGTGCACCAAGCTAACAACAAATTTTGAAACATTTTAGGCTTGCAAAAGTAATGTTATACCATACATTTATATTTTACACAATATAAAACATACAAAATAAATTCATTCAGAAATATACTTAATTTGGGCCGGGCACCGTGGCTCGCCTGTAATCCTAGTACTTTGGGAGGCCGAGGCAGGCAGATCATGAGGTCAGGAGATCAAGACCATCCTGGCTAACACGGTGAAACCCCATCTCTACTAAAAAATACAAAAAATTAGCCGGGCGTGGTGGTGGGCACCTGTAGTCCCAGCTACTCGGGAGGCTGAGGCAGGAGAATGGCATGAACCCGGGAGGCAGAGCTTGCAGTGAGCCGAGATAGCGCCACTGCACTCCAGCCTGGGCAACAGAGCGAGACTCCATCGCAAATAAATAAATAAATAAAAATAAAGAAATATACTAAATTTGTAGTAAAATACAGAGCATTCTCAATTCTATTACACTGTTCCAATGATATTTTTGCTATATCAGAATGAGTAACTGAAATCCATATGCAAGATGTTGTACCATTAAAATATTAAATGTAGTATATCTGTACATAATACATAGTTATATATTATACTATATATCATTATATATGTAGATGATATATTACATACCATGAATAATTATATATATATTTCTTAATGTGTTAAGCAATTTTCCAAAATACATTTTAAAGTCTTTGCATGAATATTCTACCAAAATTTTATTTTTTTAAATTGTGTTTATTTATTTATATATTTTGTGATGGGGTCTTGCTTTGTTGCCCACAATGAAGTGCTGTAGCATGATCATAGCTCACTGCAGCCTTGAACTCCTGGGCTAAAGCGATCCACCAACCTCACCCTCTGGAGTAGCTGCGATTATAGGCATAAGCCACCATGCTGGGCCCTGATCAAATTTTAAATTATATTCTATACCTCACATTACTGACCCAATGTTAATATGCATTTATGTATTGGAACTCAGTGTATAAATAATTATAGTTTACTAGTCATTGCAGTAATTGATTTTGAGAATTATGCTCATTAACAATCAGTGGAGCTGTTTTTGAACTACTCCTTAGATTTTGGAATATGACTGCTTGTATTTGAATATCTGCCTCAGAATTTCTCCCATATGTGAATTAAGGCAAATAAGGGAAAAAAACTGGTGAAGCATCATTTTATCCTATTTAAAATAAGGACAACTAAATAATGATTGTCTTGAGAATAAAGAAAGTGATTATTTTAGTCTGCTCACATGCTGCTAATAAAGACATACTCAAGATGGGGTAATTTATAAAGGAAAGAGGCTTAATTGACTCACAGTTCCACATGGCTGAGGAGGCCTCACAATCACGGTTGAAGGTGAATGAGAAGCAAAGTCACATATTACATAGCAGCAGGCAAGACAGCGTGTGCAGGGGAACTCCCCTTTATAAACCCATCAGGTCTCCTGAGATTTATTCACTCTCATGAGACCAGCACAGGAAAGAACCCCCCCACTCCCCCACCACGATTCAGTTATCTCCCACACGGTCCCTCCCATGACACGTGGGAATTATGGGAACTACAATTCAAGATGAGATTTGGGTAGGGACACAGCCAAACCGTATCAGTGATCCTTGATAGTAAGTACTTAGAAAAATGATTCAAGCATAAATCAGACCTTTTTCAAGTTTTCTGTTACATTTACAGTCATATGTTGTTGGACATTTTCTGAGAAATGTGTTGTTAGGTAATTTCAACACTGTGCAAACATCACAGTGTGTACATACACTAACCCAGATGTATAGCCTACTGCACACCTTGGCTGTGTTGTATAGCCTATTGCGTCTAGGCTACAAACCTGTACAGCATGTTACTGTACTGAATTCTATAAGTGATAAAACACATAGTAACTATCTGTGTATCTAAACATATCTAAACAGAGGAAAAGTACAGTAAAAATACACGATTATAATCTTATGAGAAGACCATCATATATGTGATCCATCATTGACTAAAATATCATTACGAGGCACATGACTATGACTATATTTTTTAAATTTTTGTGTGTTTGTTTTCTTCACTGGTATATATTGTTATTGCAAGTCCTCTTATTGTGGCCTTTAGTTTGCATGAAGGGCTAATTAAATCAATATTGATTGACCACCTGAAATTCAGGACTTCATTATGGATCATGATTGTGCACCTCCTTAATGTTAATTTACATATAGCTGAGGGCAATGATTCTGATGGTGGGTGTGATTGTTTAATTTAAAATTGTTACTTCATACATTAAATTGCATCCATCTTCTCTCATTCAAGAAAACTGGCTCTGGCACATCTGTCTTTACAGTTATAAGAGAAATCCTAAGAGGAGACTGAAAAATAAAATAGAAGAGAAAATAGTATTGACGAGAAAAAAAGCAGGTGCCAAGGGAGTGATAGGTTAGAGTACAGAAAAATTGTGTTCTTCACTTTTTCAACAGATTGAATGAAGTTAGAACCATAAAGAGACAAAATAATTACATCATACTACACTCACTTGGTATTATCTTGAACTGTAAGTGCAGTCTCTAGGTTTCATAGTGAATAAGTAAGCTATTTATTGTAGTGTGTCAGTAATACAAAGCCTTTAATTAAATAAGAATGCATTGTGTAATTGGAAATCTGATTGGTAGTCAGAGTTCTGATATTGGTAAGCCATGGGACAGTAATAATTTAGAGCAATATTGCTGTAAGAGATGGACTTATATTCTGGTCTCTCTCTCTCTGTCTCCCTCTCCCCACTCTCTCTGGCTACCTTCCTTCACACAAGTGAATACCACGGTATGTCCTCAGGAGTGTACCTTTCTGGGAAATTAATGCCTTTTTCTCTCCACTAATCAAACTTCAGCTCTCTGGAACTTTTTCTGGAATCAACCTCTTCCCTTGGAGGTGAACGTGCTCTAACTGAGGTAGTGCCAGTGCTTACTCTTCCTTTCTCAAAGTCCCCAGTGTTGTAGTGTTGGCGTAGCCAAAATGTTTTCTAACTCTAGCCAGTCTGACTTGCTTTAAACTTGTTTCCAGAGAGAAAATAAGAATGAATTAATAAAGGCCATTGGTGAAACTACAGCAACTCACATTTTAACACAGTAAATGACATTATCATTAAGTGGCATTTTTTTGTCAAGTAAGAAAAGGAAATGCACTCTGGGACTTAGTAGTTGGTATGAAGTCAACCTAAGAAAAATGGGATTCGATGTCCTAATACTGAAGTGAGAATGAACAGAAATAATATTATTTCAACATTCTTCTTAATGATAGAGTTTCTTGACTGACTTCCAAGTTGAGATCAATGATACACATAAGCCCATTTATGTATTCAATCATGTATAATTATTATCTTCTCAGCAATTATCTCTACTTGTTCTATATGCATGATAATGTGTTGGCTGCATGAAATGTTCTAGACGTATGGTTTGCCTGTGGATAATTTTTATGTTAATTCTGTTAAGCTACCACTCTAAGTTCCAATGTCTTAGAAGGATATTTTATTATTATTATTATTATTTTTTAACCTGGTTGTTTCTGTGATTATGGTTTTATGGTTTGCACCTTTGGGAAAGCCTAAGGTTTACACATTTTTGAAAATACCATGTTGACCATGTGAGAGTTGGAGTAAAGCATTTTAACTAAAAGTTTCAGAGCAAAAGCAAGCTTCCAAATATTTTTCCTTTTCATATTGACATGACTTGCATTTAACCTTACATTTTTTTTCTGTCTTGATTTTTAGATAACATCAAATAGATACTTGTCACTCTAACTTTGAAGATGTGACTTAATTACTACTGCCAACATTTTATAATAAGCTTCAGGGAAAAAAGAATTCATTGTATTAATTTTTAAAACCTGTGATTTTTGAAAATGCAGATTTCTTGACTATTGGAAATTAACAGTATAACACATTTTAATAACTAATTTGAAATGCAAGATAATATAGAGAAAGTAAGCTGTTTTTTAAAAATTAAATTAATGTCACTTTTTTTTGTTTCTGTGAACAGATAAAATCAAACAGTGCATATAAACTCAGTGTTGTCCCATCGTAGACACAGACACTCATCAAACGCTCATTGATTAAATTGATGTTTGTAGCAAATTGGCGAGTGTCCACACAAAATTCAAGTCCATACAGAGCCTCAGAATGTCATCTTATTTAGAGAGAATCCTTGTAGATGTAGTTATGTTATAATGAGGTCATAGTGGATTAGGGTGGAACCTAAATTCAATGGCTGGTTTCCTTATAGGAAGAGGAGAAATGGCCATGTGACATACAGGAGAAAAGTCATGTGAAGACAAAGGCAGAGATCTCAGTGACTCACGTATCAGCCAAGAAATGTCAAGTCTTCCTGGCAACCATTAGAAGCTAGAAGTATGGGAAAAATTCTCCCTCAGAGCCTCTAGAAGAAACCAACCCCCAGAAAACTTTGATTTCAGACCTCTGGCTTCCAAACTATGAGAGAATAAATTTCTGCTGTGTTAAGTCTCCCAGTTTGTGTTACTTAGTAAGGGAGCCCTGGGCAACTGGAACAATTAGGCATCTGTCCACGTAGTGCTTAGGCCTTAGAGCAGAAATAGGAGAATATACACACACACACAGTATCACCAAAAACAAGCTATCTCAAATATCAATATGCTATATGTAAATGAAGACAAAATAATTTCCAAGGATAGAACAATAAGGCTTGAGCTTGACACTTGGTTTGAATACTTCTTAAGGGATGATTGGGATTTGTGCGGAGGTAGATTAGAGAAAAATCCAAATTTAAACTAGAATGAGCAATAGCACAAATTATAAATGTGATTAACACATGCACGTTGTGCTTACAGCATATTATCTGGTTTAATGCAGAGACAATGAATGTCTCAGTGACATAATGAAGCTCTTATTTTTAAAAAGATTCTCTATTTTCATCTTCCTTTCACTCATATTAATATGTCTAAATTCCATTCAGTGTTCGTGACTCAAATGACAACTTTTTGATTGTAGTACTTCCGGATTCTTTTATTCCTTCAGTTCAAATTAAGCTTCCTGACACTTTGATTCAGCCTGCTTTTCCATGTAAATACAATTTTATTATTTCTGTGTCATAGCGGTGCTGGGGTGTTTGTGTTCACACCAGTCTTCTGCTATTCAGCTTCAAATTTGCTGAAGTAGTTTCAGGCTTTTTTTTTTTTTTTTTTGCTTTTCATTTATAATACAGCAAATTGTTTTACACAAAGGTGGTCCTTATTAAACATTTGCTGAAGTAAAAATATTATTTACATCTCTGTGTATACTTGTTTAAATTCACTGGCAATTTTATGCCTCTGTGGCTTCAAAAACACTATAGACAGGTCTTTTAACTACTTAGAGAAAAACTGATATAAAAGTACATTTGCAATTGAATGTTATCAGAAAAACAAGGTACAGGGTATATTGAAGTGAGATTATTTAAAGGGAATTTGCAGCAATTCATCTCTGCTATCAGGATATGTTGATTATGTGGTAAATATGGTTGTAGTATAATGTGCAGAGCCAGTTTTTTATTAAGCGGATGTATACATAGTGGACCAAATGTTTTCAGTTTTAACTAAGGCTCAATTTACACTCACCATTCAAGAATCTCAGCTGAAGTTCTATGGAAAGATTCTTGAATGGTGAGTGTGAAAAGAATGTAAGCAAATACAATAAACTGTAATATGTACTGGTGAAGTGTATACTGCCATAAATATTGTCTTTTATTCTATTAGGCTTTGCAAATCGGAATGTTGTACATTAAAAATTTGAATTCAATAAAATGTCAGAAAAACAGGTGATTTTTAGTAAGTAACCATTTTTATTCGATATTGAGAAATAAACCTTTACAACTTATAAAATAAGCACAAAAATAAGAAGCAGTTTTTAATAGTGTTTTGTAATACAGGCTATTCATTTCATAATGTATTTTCTTTAAAATACTGTGCAGTTATACTGTATAGACTGTTCTTCCTTAATAATTAAGAAGAAACAAATATTTTTCACGCTTGCAACTATTATTATTACACGGTAATTAGTTGTTTACTTGATGAATTAATTTTTCTTATTTTATAAAATGCCTTTGGACATTGTACAAATTTGGTTTTTATGAAATAAAATTACTTGTGTTTGAATAATTCATGTTAGAAAGTTTTTTCACATGAAATTAATTTTAATTTCAGCATGTCAAAGGAAAGAACGCAAAATAAAAATAATCGCTATTTGGTCCATTAATGATTTTATACTTATAGAATATTCAACATGTTTACTGCTCTTTGTGCTAAGAAAAGAAACTAAGTATATTCAACTTAAATATGTAAAATTACACGTCTGATTTTAAAATATGACAGTCTTTTTAAATAAAGTACTTTTTTAAATGACTGATGTGTATATGTATTTGTGTGAATTTAGAGCTTAACAATTGAAGGTTAGTTTTCTTTTCCATTATAACATGTTTGCTATCAGTTATACAACCACAGTTTAATGGTTCAAATACACTCAAATGGTTCAAATACATTACTGAAATATAGTTATATTTAATTTCATATTTGATTATCAATTATGTTTTTATCTGAAAAACATGTTTAAATATTTCTCTAAATATAAACACAGCAAGCCAACTGTTTCTTCTATTCCTTCTCATTACTTTCAGAAAACATTAATTTCTTTACCGATTTTTTTGAGCAGATAATTTTTAAAAAAATTTTTGAAACATTGCTTTAACAATGAGCCTACAGATCAGCCAGAGGTGAAAACTTAGGATATTCTCAGTTCTTTACCTTTCTGAACTTACATTTTCCCCTGAGTATACATGTCACTTTCTCAGTCCCCCAGTGTACAGGTGGACTTTTGAATGCCCTAATTATGAACAAGCAAATTTCCTCTCAGCTTTACATTTCAGGCTATCGTGCTCTATACTTTGCTTCTACTTAAATATTTTGCCCCAAGGAACAGGTGGTTGTTCATTTGCCTTTCAAGGAATTCTCACTACTCATTTGTTTCAAGTCAGTTCTGATTTATGCTAAACAGCACCTTGTGTCATACCTTCATAGGGCTCCCAGACAGGGAATGAGACAAATATGATTATTTGATGATAAATTTTGCTATGTTCCCTCAAGAACCAGGGACGAAGACCCTACACGGGTACCATATGCTGCCATCTTTAAAAATCCTCGGACCCAGGGAGAGAGATAAGGTAAGCACGAGTAAAAATACCACAAACTTTGTTACCATTTTAAGTTGCCTTTTTAAAAATTCAGCATTTATTTTTTATTTTTTTAAATTATACTTTAAGTTCTGGGGTACACGTGCAGAACGTGCAGGTTTCAGCACTTAAATAATTGCTGTAAACCTTTGACTATTTCCCTGACTTGACAAAATTGATTCTAATTGTTTTTGCTTGATTTTCAGTGTTGCTGTGAGTAGATGGATCCTTCGGCCTTCCTACTTCACTATTTTCACTGATTGCACTCTGTTTGAGATTTGTTCTACACTCCAGTATACGATCTATCTTGGCAAGTGTTCCACGAGCTTGGGGGAAAAATGTATTCTCCAGGTATGCGATGAAGTTCCCACACATACATACACATAAATATAAATGTATATATTATAAATCATATGTGTGTATATAAAACTAATAGTATCTAATAGTTAACTATACAAAATACTAATAGTATCTAGTATATATATTAAAGATACCATTAATTTTTTGTCTTGTTCAGATATTCTAGATTCTTGCTAATTTTAGGTGTCTGAATCACTTGCAGGGAGGGGTTGTTAAAAGTCATTTATAATTGTGAATTTGTCCATTTATCTTTTCCGTTCTAACATTTATAATCACCATAGCTCCCATGCAGATTCATCCTTCTATCATAATGTGATATCCTCCCTTGCCTCTAGTAATTTTATTTCCTCTAAAGTCTGCTCTGATATTTATATAGCCACTTCTGCTTTTAAAAGTTATTTTTAAAAATAATTGAAAGTGTTTTATCCTTTCACTCGGAATCTACCTATGTTATTGGGTTTACAGTTATTTCCTTGTGAACAAAATATGGTAGTGTTGTACTTCTATGTTCACTCTGCCAATTTTTTTTAGCTTATGTATTTATACCATTTATATATAAAATAATTATTGATTTGTAGGGCTTAAGAATGCCAATTTAATTTGTCCTCAGATATTTCTCTCACACTTTTTTTTTTTTTTGCCTCTCTGTCACACATTTTTGCCTACCAATGGGTTATTTTAACATTTCGTAGTGTTCACTCTTGTATTTACTTATATATTCTTTTGGATATCACTTTTAATAGTTTTCTTGGTGGTCACTGTAAATATTAAAATATACAAGCAGTTTATATCAGTTATCAGTATTTTGCCTGTTTGAATAAATATTTGAACCTTACTTTTCTTTGGTTATTCTACTCCCTTAATTTTTAAATATAAGTGAATCAGTAATATTCTCTCTGTATATCAAACACCTCAATAGTAGATGTTATAATTTGTGCTTCAACAATCAAGTATGCTGTAAGACAGTTATGAGAAGGATATTCTAGTTATCTATATTTTTACTAATTCCTGTATTCTAGTCTTCTATCTTTTCTGGTTTCAAGCCATAATCTCTTATCATTTCTTTATATTTGAAAAGCTTCCTTTAGCCATTTTTCAAGATATATGTCTGCTGCCAACAAATTCTCTAACTCTTCCTTCATTTAAAAATGTAATTGTTTTATTCTTTCTTGAAGAATAGTTTAATTGGGTATCAAATTTGTCATTAAATTTTTTCTATGAATACTTGAAAATGTTAGGCCATGTTCTTCCAGCACCATGGTTTCACAAGAGAAATCTAAGCTCATTCAAATTGATATCCTCTTATAAGTAGTGTCATTTCTCCCTGAGTGCATTAAAATTTTAGAATTATGTTGGCATGGATTTCTGTGGGTTTGTCCTATGTGGGAGTTGCTCAGTTTTGGTGATGTATTAGTTTATGTTTTCTGGCACAAATGGGAAAATTTCAACTTTTTTTTAATACATTTTGTACTCCATTCTTTCTCCTTCTGATACTCTGATGATATAAATTTAGATATTTTCTTAATTTATCATAAGTCCCTTATAGGTGATGTTATTTTTAATGATATTTTATTCCTGTTGTTAAGATTGAGTAAATTCTATTTATTTGTCTTTATGTTTTCTGATTCTATTGTCTCTAACATTGAGCCCCTCCATTGAGTTTTCATTTCAGTTAATGTATTTTTTTAAATTCTGACATCTATCCCATTTTTTAAAACTTTAGTCTATATGCTGAAAATTTTTTAATTGTTTCAAGAAAATCAGTAATTTTTTGTTGAATAATGTTATGGTGGATTTTTAGAAAACTTTGTCAAATACTTTCAATTCATCTGTACTGACACAATTGTCTTGTCTTGCTTCTATATTTCTTCTGCATATGATGTTTTCTTGTCTGTTTCTAGATTTTTTTCTGCATATGATATGATAAAGTACTTCTGTACATGTGTGTCCATATTCGTCAGTAAATGTCACTTGTTAACTTGTTGCTGCTGGGTGCAACGCTAGAAAACATGGTTTTGTTGATTCTCTGCCACTAGGTGGAGTGCCGGGAGATATCCAGTAGACGTCTGCTTTGCTTGCAATACTCTCCCCTTCCCAAACCAAATGGAAGGAGTCCTCCTGTTTTGCTACACTTGATGTGGTTTGAGACCTGGCTTTTCCCACCCAGGCTTTTCTCTCTGATAACACCACTGCAGACCAATTGGCTTGTCAGTGTGTGCGGGGCAGGAGAGGTTGGTTTGGGGCAGAGCTTGCCCACGTTCTGATGTTTCCATTGCTGCAGGTGATTAGACTCACATTTCTACTGGTTACTGGTGTTCCTATCAAGTTCCTTCTGGACTTACTTCTTCCTATTTTATTGGCTGTAAAAAAAATTTTCTTCATATTACTTTTCTATTTCTAATTCCTGTTAGCATTTTTTTTTTATTTGTAGGTTTCACCCAGTCTGTGACATGTGGGAGAATACAAAGAAATCCAGAAGGCTTTCCATAGTGTTGTGTTGGTCGTCTACTGCTAATGTCTCCTCAACACTCTTTTCGTTTATTTCTTTTAGAGTCTTTTTATAATGTTTGTTGAATAATTCCCATAGTAATTTGCTTTATTTATAAGAGAAGAACAAGAAAAAGTAAAGCCATATTATCTTGTCCTGGGATCAGAATTCTCCTTATATAATTTAAAATATAAATGTCATAAATTTTGTATCTGATAATAATTTTATCTGTAATTAACAAACACCAATTCACTTACCATTTCTTCCCCACTACAGAATACGCTGTTAATCCCATTCTATGGATTTTCATCTCAGGCACTGTAGCTTTTCGTTCTAGAATTTTAATTAGAGCATTTTTTTCTGACTTTTATTTTAGGTTCATAGCATACATATGCAGTTTTATTACATAGACAAATTGCCTGTTACTGAGGTTTGTTGTGCAAATAATCTCGTCACTTAAGTACTGAGCATAGTACTCAATAATTCTTCTAACCCTCCTCCTTCCCTCCTCCTACTTCTGTTAGTCCCCCGTGTCTGTTGTTCCCATCTTTGAGTTCATGTGTATTCAATGTTTAGCTCACACTTAAGAGTGATAACATGTGATATTTGATTTTCTGGTGCTGCATTAATTTGCTTAGGATAATGACTTTCAGTTGTATCCATGTTGCTGCAAAGAGCATGATTTCCTTTTTTATGGATGTGTAGTATTCCATGGTATATATTCACCACATTTTGTTTATCCAAGTTCACTGTTGGGGGGCATCTAGGCTGATTTCATGTCTTTGCTATTGTGAATAGTGCTGTGATGAACACGAGATTACATGTGTCTTTTTGGTAGAAAGATTTATTTTCTTTGGGGTGTACACTCAATGATGGGATTGCTGGGTTGTATGGTAATTCTGTTTTCAGGTTTTTGAGAAATCTTTAAACTGCTTTCCACAGTGGCTGACCTAATTTACATTCACAAACAAGATATAAGTTTTCTCCTTTCTCCACAACCTTGCCAGCATCTGTTATTTTTTGACTTTTTAATAATAACTATTCTGACAAGTGTGAGATGGTATCTCATTGTGGTTTTAATTTGCATTTCTAATTAGATAATTTTTATATTTTATGTTTTAAATTTATGTGAGTATGTTGATTATTCTTTACTGGGGTAAAATAATCATAACATAAAATTTACCATCCTAATCATTTTTCAATGTACAGTTTGGTGTTATTGAATACATTCATAATGTTGTACAGCCATCACTACCATTCATCTCTATATTTCTTTCTATTTTATAAAACTGAAATTCTTGCCCACTAAACAATAACTCTCCAGTCACACCCTCAACCACCTTTCTACTTTCTCATTATGATTTTGACCTGAGTACTTCATACTATATTACACAAATACTATATATAGTATTTGTCTATGTATTTCCAGTTATGTGTGACTGGATTATTTTACTTCATGTAGTGTACTTAAGGTTCATCCACGCTGTATAATATGTCACAGTTTTCTTTTTAAAGGGTAAATAATATTCCATTATACATATATACTACATTTGCTGTTCCATTTATCTGTTGATGGACATTTGGGTGGC
This sequence comes from Homo sapiens, assembly GCF_000001405.40. NCBI lineage: Eukaryota > Metazoa > Chordata > Mammalia > Primates > Hominidae > Homo > Homo sapiens. The sequence goes on from NC_000005.10 coordinate 25,546,877, forward strand.
TTCCACATTTTAGTTACATTAAATAATGCTACTATAAACATAGGCATACAAATATTTTTTCAAGATGCTCTTTTTAACTATTTTGGGTATAAAGACTGAAGTGGAATTGCTGGATTACATAACAACTACTAATATATTAATATTTTCTTTTTTTTGAAAAACCTTCATACTTTTTTCCTCAGCAGATACACCATCTTACATTGCTAGCAGCAGTACTCAAGGGTTTCAATTTTTCTACATCCTCATCCCTATTTGCTATTTTCATTCTTATTTTACAGTAGCCATCCAAAGTATGTGAGGTGGTATCTTATTGTACTTTTGATTTGTGTTTTCTTAAAGACTAGCAATGGTGAGCATATTTTTCTGTTTATTGGCCATTTGTATTTCTTCTTTGGACAAGCATCTACTCAAGTCCTTTGTCCATTGCTGAATTGGATTGGGTTTTGGTGTTTTGAGACTGGGGGATTCTCTAAATATTCTGAATGTCAATCTCTTATCAGATAAATAACTTGCAAATATTTTCTCTTTTTCTGTATGTTGCCTTTTTACCCTATTCATAATGCCTTTGGTTATATAATTTACTAAAAATTTTACAAAGTCCAATTTGTCAATTGTTTTTAGTTGCCTGTGCATTTTGTGTTATATTTAAGAAATTACTGTCAATCCAACATCACAAAGCTTTTGCCCTATGTTTTCTAAGAGTTTTACTGTTTTCACGTTACATTAAGGTTTTTGATCCATTTTGAGTTAAATTTTTGTATTTGCTGTTATTTAAAGGTCCAACTTTATTATTTTGCATCAGGATGTCCAGTTTTCTCAGCACTATTTGTTGACAAGACCATCATTTCCCCATTAAATGGTCTTGGCAACCTTGTCAAAATCCAAATGTGAGGGTGTATTTCTGGACTCTTCACCATAGTTTATTGGTCTATATGTCTGTCTGTATTTCAGTAAATATTGTTTTGATTACTGTAAATTGTAGTAATTTTTGAAATCAGGAACTGTGGGTATTCCAGTTTTGTTCTTTGTTTTCAAGATAGTTTTGGTTATACGAGGACCCTTCAGATTCCAAATGAATTTTAGAATGTGTTTTTCTATTTCTGCAAAAAAAAAAAAAGGGGGGGGGAGGAATTTCAGGAGGGATTGCATCAAACTGTAGATTGTTTTGTTTAATATTGACATCTTAGCAATACTAATTCTTCCAATCCATGAACATAAAATGTGTATCCATTTATTTATGTTTTATTTACCATCTCTCAGTGATGTTTTATTGTTTTCATTGTACAGGTCTTTGACCTTCTGTGTTAATTCCTAATTATTTTATTTTTGATGATATTTTAAATGGGATTGTTTTTATGATTTCCTTTTCAGATTGTCCATTGTTACTGACTAGAATGCAATTTATTTTTGCTTGTTGACTTTTTATCTTGCTAGGTTTCCAATCTCATTTATTAGTTAAATTGTTTTATATTTATTTATTGTGTGAAATCTTTGGGGTTCTACATACAAACTTACATAATCTGCTTACAACGATAATTTTATTATACTTCTTTCTTTTCAATTTGGATGTCTTTTATTTATTTTTGGGGTAGTTGCTCTGGCTAGAATGACTATGTTGAATAGACGTGGTGAAAGTGAACAACATCCTTGCTCAGATCCTGATCTTAGAGAAATACCGCTCATATTTCATCATGTTGGCTATATATTTTTATATATGTTTTTTATTATGTTTAGGTAGTTTTATTTCTTTTTATTTCTAGTATTTCAGATGTGTTTATCATTAAAATTTTAGTTTTGTCACCTGCTTTTTCTGCATCAATTGAATCATGATTTTATTCCATTTCATTCAATTAAAGTGGTCTACTAGGTTGATTAATTTTATATGTTGGATTATCCTTGCAATCAGGAATAAATCTCACTTGGTCATGATATATAATTCTGTTAATATGCTGCTGAATTTAGTTTGCCGTATTTTGTGGAGGATTTGCATCCTTTGATGTCCAGGTAACATTAGCATCATAGAATGAGTTAGGAAGACCCCTGACTTTCAAATTTTTGGAAAAGTTTGAGAAGGAATGGTGTTGTTATTTAAATACTTGATAGATTTCACCAGTGAAGCTATCAGGTTTAGGGCCTTTATTTATAAGGAGACTTTTATTACTTATTCACTACCCTTACTAGTTGTAGGTTTATTCACATTTTTTTCATTATGATTAACACTTGGTGAATTTCATGTTTCTTGGAATTTGTCCATTTCATCTAGGTAATCCAATGTGTTAACATACGTATCAATATTACTCTTTTATAATCCTTTTTTATTTCCAGAAAATTATCAGTAATTTCTTCACTTTCATCTCTGATAATAATTTTAGTCTTCTCTCTTTTTTTCTTAGTCTAATTGGCAAAAGGTTTGTCGTACAATCTAGCAAAAAGTTTTTTATCTTTTCAAGGGAGCAACTGGTTTTATTGGTTTTCTTTATTGTTTTACTATTATTATTTTTCATTTATCTATGCTCTAATATCTTTATTTCCTATCTTTTCTGTTTTTTTTTCTATTTTAATAAGTTGTAAAATTAGGTTGTTGATTTATTTCTTATTTTTTTAATGTAAGTGTTTAAAATTATAAATTTTCCCCTAAATTATGTCTTTGCAGCATCCCAAAAATTTTGGTATACTCTGCTTTTATATTCATTTGTCTCTAAATGTTTTCTATTTTCCCTTGTGATTTCTTCTATGACCCATGGGTTAAACGTGTGTTATTTATTTTCCACAAATTTGTAAATTTTTCAGTTTTACTCCTGCTATTGGTTTCTAACTTTACTGTGATTAGAGAAAACACATTGTATGATGTCTAGCTCTTAAAATCTACTGACACTTAATTTATGGTGTATTATATGGTCGATTCTGTAAAATGTTTTATGTGCCCTTGACAAAAATTTGTACGGTGTTGCTGTTGGGTAGAGTGTTTTATATATGCCTGTTTGATTAAGTTAATTTATTGATATTTTTAAAATGTTCTTTATTTCCTCACTTATCTTTTGTCTGGTTGTTTTATTCATTATTTAGAGTAGTATATGGAAGTCTCCTCCAGTATTACAGTTTTCCATTGCCTATTTATCCCCTAAATTATAACAAGTAGTTTTATGTATTATAATGGTCTGCCATTAAATGGGTAAATCTTCATAATTTCTATATCTGGTTGCTGAATTAAAACTTTTATTAATATATAATATCTTTTGAATCCTTGAAACCTTTTTTAAATTTAGTATCTATATTGTCTGAGATTGATATGGCCAACTTTGTTCTCTTTTTTACAACTGTTTACATGGTACATTGTTTCCATTTTTTACTTTCAATAAATTATTTTTTTCATTCTTTTTTTTCTTTAACTTTTATTTCAACTTTCCGGTGTACATGGGCAGGATGTGCAGGTTTGTCTTGAGTCTCTTATAGACAGCATATAGTTGAATCATAGTTTGTTTTAATCCATTCTGCCTATCTTTTGATTGGAGTTTAATCCATTTACATTTAAAATAATTACTGCTAAGGAAGGACTTCCTTCCTTCATTTTTCTATTTATTGTCTTTGTGCCTTATAGCTTTTTGTTCTTCATTACCTGCATTTATTTCTTCCTTTGTGTTTAGTGGACTTTTTTCATAGTGAAATGTTTAAACTCCTTTCTCATTGTTTTTGTGTGTATATTCAATGACTCTTTCTTTTGGGGTTGTCATGAGGATTACATTACTATCCTAAAGTTATAACATTGTAATTTGAATTTATACCAGCTTAACTTTAAAAAAATTAGGCTGTCGCAAAGGTAATTATGGTTTTTTATTAAAAGTAATGGCAAAAACCGCAATCACTTTTCTCAAAATGTTTTCTGAACCTGGACCTCTCTCTAGACATTTATAGTCACTTTCTAATTTTTTCTGTATATGCCTTTATTTTAAAAATATTCTACTGTTTAATATCTGACTCCCAAAACAGGAAAAGAAAAATTAAGGGGAAAAATAGGACACTGGCTCTTTAAGTCCCCATGAAGTCATTTCTACTGGAGGGAGAATTATTTCCAGGCAATAAACTGCAGCAATTGTTGGGCCTGTTAGAGATTAGTGTCATTCATTGTCTGATGTCCAGTGCTGTAAATTATTGTTTATATATTTTGCTCTGCTTTACAGTTGTTTTAGGTAGGAGGCAAATTCATTTTCTCTCCTTTTGTCTTTGCAAGAAGCTGAATTTCTAATTTGTTTATATTTAATTATTTATTTAAATATTGATTTGTTATCCCTAAAACCAATTGTATAAACACATGCATTTTTTGATTCTATTTTCTGTAATATTTACAATCACTGCCATATATATATATATGGCATATATATAGATATATAGCTCAGTTTACTTTTGTTCCTTGGTACAGATTATTTGTCTCCATTTGTTCATGTTCTAATTCCCTTTTCTATCCATAATCCTTTCATCCAAAAAACTCTCAACATTAAAAAGTCACATATATAATACAAGAAACTGACTGCCATAAAAATATGCCTGTCACATTTCCTATTTTGAGGATAGCAATTGATTAACATCCCTAGCTGCTACATCCAAATTTGTACTGAGCACACCTTCCATGGGTAACTCAAATAAACTGAGCACAGTAGTGTTACAAAGATACTACTATTCCCTTGAAATTTCAGACAGATTGACTGGGTGACTTTGGCTTGAAGCCTCTCCATTAGTTTCACTGAAACTTTTTTTAGAAATGTATGATAGTTTGAAACCTTTTCTTTCTTCACTCTTCTTCACAGTGCTTAGAACTTCACTGTGGTCTTTTCATTGAGGATCACAACAAATACAGAAATTTATTTCATTTCTTATTTTCAATAATTGCATTATTATTAATAGCTAAAAACAGTTAAATTCTTAACACTCTCACCCATAAAATTACATTTTAATGAAGAAAATTTGCAATAAACAAAAGAAATTTTAAAATCCACTAAGAATTAATGGAAAATATATCTTCATTTCAACGTGTACTCACTTCCAGAAAACAAGGATATTGTAATATTTTAAAGTTTATTTTATGAGTGTGTAGGAAGGAGCATACTGTAATTGATCAGAGTTTTCCTTATAAAGAACATTTCTTTATCTATGCCTGCTAGTAAAAGAATCATAAATCTTACTTATGCTGTTTTATTTCTTTAAATTTTTCTCCATTCATCTACTCATTTAGGAAATTTACGGAACCATTATTGCACATGTATGGACAGTGTACTAGGTTCTGCAGAGGGAAAAAAGCAAAACAAAGCTATAGACTCTTAGGAAACTCTCTTGAGAGAATTGTTTGTTTAAAAACAAAAATTCACACAAAAATTTGCAAACAAAAATTACAACTCCAATAATTGGACGTCCTTGTTACTATGGGAGAATACACAGGAAGAAAATGATAGGCTTTCAAAAATTAATAATAATGGGGTTTTTGCTTGATTACTGCATTAGTTTCCCTTCGCTGCTGTAACAAATCACCACAACCTTAGCGTCTTAAACGAACACACATTTATTCTCCGACAGCTCTGAAGGTCAGAAGTTTGAAATCAGTTTCAAGGTGGCAGCAGAGCTTATGTTCTCGGAGGCTCAGAGGGAAGAATCTGTTTGCCTGTCTTTTTCTGCTGCTAGGGGCTTTATTGGCTTATAGCCCCTTTCTCTATCTTGAAAGTGTATCCATCCATTCTCTGCTTTCATATCACATCAGCCTCTCCTCTCTAATATTCTGCCTGTTCTTATGGGGACCCCTGTGATTATGTCAGATGAACCTTAATGATCCAGGAGAAAACTTTGCTACTCAAGATTCTTAACTTAATCAAATCTGCAGTGTAACTTATGCTATAAGAGGGAACATTCATAGGTTCTGGATATTTACACTTGGACACCATATGGGGGCCATTAGTAGCCTACCATAGTAACCAATGAAATGTGATTTCATCCCGCAAAGTTATATTTTAGGCAAGTAAAACAGGTATTACACAGAAATTTTAAATAGCTCTTTGAAAACAACAACAAAATACTAATCTAAAACAATTTTTATGTTCTTTTTGGTTGGCTCTACTTACACATCTTTCAGGGAAATTTTTTATGTTAATATATTATCTGAGAGAACAGACATTGCTACATATATGTTAATTCTTAGATTTTTCCCTGAGGCAAGTTTCCCTGCGAACATTTGGCAGCTCAAATGAAGAAGAAAATGGAGACTTCAATTTATGTATTTGCAGAGGTGACTCTCCATGTTATTTTTCCTGTGTGCCTCACTACATTTCTGAGAAGTAGATTTCTTTTGAAGTCATTGCACTCCATCCAGTCTCTCTTTGCCAATTAATCCCTAGCATATCATTTTATATGCCTGGCAGTCTGCCAATTATTGAAGGTGGCTTTTGACTTTAGTTAAATGTCCATTTTTCCATTTTTAATAAGATTCATACTCTTTGCATAGATATCGCTAAAATACTATTCCTTAGTAATTGTCATACTTATCTTTTTTTCTCATATATTAACTATATCTAAAATTTCATTCCTATATCTACTAATTTCCTAAAATGTTTCATTAGGCTAAATTTAAATTGTGTATGCATTATAATAGGATACAAATGAACTTAAATCATTCTCCAATTTTAGGTCTAAATAGGTGAATTTATTGCATCACATCTAGCTGTATCTTAAGTGCCAGCCACACTGTCTGTCCCCCAAACTGGAAGACGAGCATAAAATATATTTTATTTTTGTTTATGTTTCTCTTACTCCTAGTGTTAGAATGAAGCTGATTGAAAATTTTAAGCTCACTTAATTCTAAGATTTTTTCCTCAATCAAAATACAAACACAGAGAATAAACACAAATTCAAAATAAGGATTACAGGTTTTAAAAAATGTGTTCTTTCCTGAGACACTGGGTTTAGACTATTTCTTTACGTAAATTCATTTAATTATTTAAAATACTCTGGACATTTTAGAATATTTGTGTATATTATATCATTAATATTGATGCAAACTTTATTTGAACATGAAGGTATAATATTACCTATCAAAATGTTGCCTCACTTGAAAAATATAAAATACAGCATTTGTCATGGTATATTTTTGTTGCTCTGACTGGATAAAGAAAAGAGGCTTATTTATCTCAAGGCTCTATCACTCTCAGAAGTTTAAGGGCATAGTCCTGACTTCTGAAAAGGCCTTTTGTACTATGTCATAACATGGCAAAGATGGTCAATGGGGAATTACTTCTCCTAGACACATGTGAAGAGAGAAAACCGTAGGGCACCCTGGTTTTATGACAACCCAGTCTCATAGGAACTAACTCATTTTCTGGAGAACTAACCTGATCTCACCAGAGGATGAACTCACTCACTACAAGCACAGCAGTACCAAGCCTCTCCTGAGAAATCCACCCCAACGGCCCAAATACATTCCACTAGCCACACCTCCCAACCACCACCACATTGAGTAACAAATTTCAATATAAGTTTTGATGAAGGTACACAAACCATATCTAAGCCATAATGATATTTTTAAAGCATGATAGGTTATCTACATATAAATATAAATTATATATATATATGTTTTAAATTGCATGTTTTTTCTATTTATAAAGGCAGCAATGCTTCATCTAATGTGTGCGTAAGAATCAATTGGGATGAGAGTTTAAAACAAATTTCTGGGCCTATTTAATTAAACTTAAGTTTGATTGAATAGATTTAAAGAAAGATACAGGAAAATACTTTTTGTTTTAACAAACTATTCACATGATTTCGAAGCAGGCATTAAATACGGGACCATTTGGAAGATGCAGCAACACAGGTGCAGATTCTCTGCAGTTTGATTCACATCTTTTAAAGTTTACTGCCAGTTTAATCTTGTTTCTTTATAGAAAGTTTGGTGAATCGTGATTTGCTTTATACCAGATTATTAACAAAATATCTTGTTATTAATGTGGGAATTTATCCTTTGTTCCTGTATGATCTGGAAAAATGAAATCTGTAGCATTTGTGACTTTGAAATAAATAGGCTTGCTTTTAGTTTCTTTACTATAAACTCTTAGAGAAATCATCTGAAATTTAGTAAGACCATAGCTACTGTCATTGTAATAATTAAATTGATAATCGATATGGCTCCAGAATGTGTTCCATAAAATGCTATTTATTTATTATATAAGAAAAATGGGAGCTGGGGGTGGGAGATCGGTGATGGGCAGAAGGCCTGTGGTTAAACGTGGGGCATATGTGAGAAAAAAAGGATTTCTTAATGACCCATCCCTCACATTTTTAGCAAAAGTTTATTACTTCATGCAACATAAGATTATTAATGTTTTCGGATTTTAAAATGCTTTCTTTGGCATAAGAGACATAGTATTTCTCTTTTGAGGGTGTATTGAAGTGTTGTATTCTAAAGCAAGAAAAATATTTGAAATTAATAAATTTCTAACTTATTAAATGCAAGATTTTTTTCTATAGCAGTAATGTGAAGTCATGAAAAATCTGAACAAAATATGTGTATTCATTGTTCATATCCTATAAATTAATTTTTGAAAACAAGAAAACTCTTTTGTGTTTAAATAAACCAGAATTAAAATCAGTATTTTTCTTTCAGCTACAATTGGCAGGAGCACATTTCAACCATAGAAAATACAAATGTATCTTACACCACGTGGATTGTTCTAAAAACTGATTGTATTTATTCTGTAGTCTAAAGTTATGATAAGTAAAGTCTTCAATAAATGATGTCAAGCATGATGACTACTTATTTGAGGATGGCCTTAATAGTGTCTCTGTTTTTAACTGATCAAAGGGATAGAACTATTAATTGAAATAATTATTTTAATTTTTCTTTCATTCTTTCTGTATTCTAAAACGACATTGATTATGTCTTTTTTACAGTTAAATCAAGTAGAATTTCTGATTGAGTAGCAAAATCCAAAATAATTCATGTTTAAATACAAATTTTAGGAATAATATCCCTAGGAAAGTCAATAGTGCATCAAAGTGGAATGGCTTAGCTGGATGATGTTAAATATTTGTGGTCATAATTAAGCTTTTAGAAGCCATTAGTGTGTCTTTTCAATAACAATATAGATAAACATAGATTTACTAAAAATCTTTCTTCTAAGAAAATATAATTTATTATTATTACTGTTGACATTTAGTCTTTATGTGATAATCAATATGTAAAGAATCTTCAGAAATAAACTAATTGATTATATACACAACCCTTCTAAATTTATTATTTTTATCGCCCATATTTTACAGATGAGGACATTGATAAAATATACAAGTAACTTCCTCAAGATTAAAAAAACTAATAATAGAATGTTAAACTAGATGTTTCTTTCTCTACTCTATAATGTGAAATCACTGATTATAAACAAGCAATATAGATTCAATTAATCTATTATAGTTTGTTTATTTACAAACAATGGGGATATTTACAATGATCCATGTAAATTTCCTCTATATAATTCTTTTTCTTGGCGGGGGCAGGGTACTGAGTCTCGCTCTGTTGCCCAGGCTGGAATGCAGTGGCGCAATCTCAGCTCATCACAACCTCTGCCTCCCAGGTTCAAGCGATTCTCCCACCTCAGCCTCCCAAGTAGCTGGGACTACAGGTACACACAACCATGCCTGGCTAATTTTTGTATTTTTTAGTAGAGATGAGGTTTCACTATGTTGGCCAGGCTGGTCTTGAACTCCTGACTTCAAGTGATCTGCTCACCTTGGGCTCCCAAAGTGCTGGGATTACAGATGTGAGCCACCATGCCCAGCCTCCTCTATATAATTCCTATATATTTTTTTATTTCTGGTATTGATGCCAATCTATGAAAATAGCAAGTTAAGCATCAACTATATTACTCTACAAATTTTGCAATGCTTTATTTTTTAAAAGCAAACACTGTTCTCTAGTGGCAGCTAACATTTTTGAAAATATGAAGTTGACCTTCAAATAAATGGTAAATGGTTGTCTTGTCTGCCAATCATTTTTATCTGCAGTGTAAGGTAAAGGTGATATGGCTTATTGCAAAAGACGAGGGGCATCATGAAAATGAATTTCAATATTCTTTGATGTGTGTGAGCCATCAATTGTGAAAAAAAGCCTTAAGCATGAACAATGAAATCATAAATTCTCTTGCAATCTGTTATTTGTATAAAAGAAGAATAAAGATAAACGTAACTATGGATTGCATGTGATAACATCGATAATGCAATGCACTCAACCCATGATAAGGAGAAAAAAATCATGTTTGATCTGTTGATAGGAATACATACTGTAGTTCTATTGAAAATGATGTTAAAACTTTAAAGAAATGTAGATACAGAGGACATAAAAGCTCTAATTTATATGTAATAATAAATGAAATATAGCTGACATATAATAGAGGATAGAAGCAAAAGTACTTACAGATTTAAAAAATAGAAGGGTGAATAATATTGATCTCTTCCAAATTTCTAATCCAACATTACATGATTTGAGGGTTACTTACTGTGACAAAATGTGTTGGATACAATAAAGTATAAATTGGCTTGCTATTACGGACTCTAAAAAAACTATACCATCACCACTATGGTCTTATCGTTTCAGCAATGCCCTCACTAATGACTCGGATAACCCATTGATAAACAATTACTGAAACATTTAGACGTACATGGTAATCTTCAGAATCCTGGGGAGAGTCCAGAATATTCAATAGAGGAGGGATACCCTGAAAAAAAATTACAATGTATGTGGGATATCTGTAAAAATATATATAACAAAGATTAAAATAATTACACTTAATAGCATCAAATGGTTTGAATAATAATGAAAGCATGGCATATATAAGTTCACTGGTGGATGAGTGCTGCAAGCTGGCATGGTTAGGGAAAACATAATAACTGAATTGGTATTTTTACATAAGAAAGACAAAATAATAACTGAGGAACTAACGAAACAAAATTGTATGAAATGAGATGTCATGAGCAGAGGAGCTCTTTGTAGCTACCAGGTCAGCTACAAACTTTGTTTTTATTGCCTAGCATTTGGGTGCGTCAAAACAGTATGTTGACTTTAATTCGATGAGAAAGTGTGTATATATTTTTTATGTCTTAAAATAGACAACAGTAATAATAAAAAATTGGTTTTGAGTGGCAATTTAAATAAAAAATATGGTAGTAAACATGACCCAACAAAAAGCTTAGAGATCAGCTTTTTTTAAGAGAAATTACCTGCAAAAAATCCTGATATTATAATTTAATCACATTTTATTGCCTTTAGAAAAATAACATATAGATGATTAGAAATTCTGCAGTTAGTTTGCACACAATTTTAGTATTTTCCTCTTCACCTCCAGATAAGGATATACTGTATTAGCTATTTCAATCTTTGCAACATAAATAAGATTAATTAGTATCAATGTAAGATAATATAAACTGTAAAGAGAAACATTGCAAATTTTTCTTTACATCATACACTAACCTTTAGAATGATACCTTTCTTAAAAGCTGAAAGAAATGAGTGCCCAGATATTTGTGAATACGCCATTCTTTTCAAAATTCCTTTAATCTAATTCAGTAAATCAAAAATTTTGTGTTCATAAAAACTTTTATATTTCACGGGCAATTTGAGGAATTATCTTTTCTTTATTGTACAGGACTTTTGCTTTAAATCAGCCTCTGTAATTATGCCATCCTTTGGAGAAGCGAGAAAATAATCACCTTTTTTGTCATTTTAATGTTCTGTGGTTTTCAGACGTAAAAATGTGGTTGAGAAAGAATTCAAAAACTGATTTCAGAAATTATTCTAAGGAGGAAAATGTGATTTCACAGATGAAATAATATTTTTACATAAAGCCTCAATTTTCTGATGCCTCAATCTTGAAAGCACTTCAGTTGGCTCGAGGAGCTGGTCAGCCTACTTCTAGCAGTGACTGTTTGAAATTAACTCTGTTTTGCTTTATATTATTTCCCGGTGTTCACCAGCATTTGGTCCTTATAAAAAGCCCTCTCTGATAATGCATGTATTTAACAACAAAGTTAATATTCACTAGCAACTTTCTTCTATTTTATTTTAGAATATTTTACTTTCACTTTTGCTAACTAATGAGAACACCAATGTTTACTCTAAATCCACTGTCTCCATTCCTATTCCTTGAAAACACTAACCATCAACATTCCTTTGATCTATTGATTTTCGAAATGGAGGTCATCTCGATTGTTGTCTTTGGAAAAATATTCACATTAATCTGGAAAATATATCACAGAATTACAGTGCTTAATGACTGAAAACTATAAGTTAAAATTTCATTTGTTGCATTCAGTTCAAAGGTTACGCCACCCTGCCAGGCGCAGTGGCTCACGCCTGTAATCCCAGCACTTTGGGAGGCCAAGGCGGGCGGATCACCTGAGGTCAGGTGTTCAAGACCAGCCTGGCCAACATGGTAAAACCTCGTCTCTACTAAAAATAGAAAAATTAGCCGGGCATGGTGGCACATGCCTGTAATCCCAGCTACTAGGAAGGCTGAGGCAGGAGAATCACTTGAACCCGGGAGGCGGAGGTTGCAGTGAGCAGAGGTCGTGCCACTGCACACCAGCCTGGGCAACAAGAGTGAAACTTCATCTAAAAAAAAAAAAAAAAAAAAGCAAAGGTTACGCCACCCATGCCTTGAAAATGTTCCTGATGTTTATCAGGAACATTATTGGGGCATAAATTGGTATGGTAATAATAGGGGAGTTGATTGTAAAATATTGCTGTGAGAAAATATAATTTTATATATAAAGATATTTGATGAAAATGAATTATTTTTAATTAGGTAGAAAACTAGCCTAGTTTTGGACCCCGATACCTAAAGATATTATCAATATAATCTAATGTTCTAAATGATAGCTCAGTCTATATTTTTTCTGCATTTTTTGTGGTATACAGTACCAGCTGATAAAAGTAATGTATTTTGTGACAATATTTTGTAGACTTACATACATATATGTATATATATGCACACACACTAACATATGATATGATTTTGCAAATATAATTGCCCTAATAATTGCTTATACTTTTTAAATGCAACTATTTGTACTTTAACAATTACTTTTTTTTTTTGAGATAGGGTGTTGCTTTGTTGCCCAGGCTAAAGCAGTGTAGTGGCCCAGTCATGGCTCACCGCAGCCTTGACCTCCTGTGCTCAAATGATCCTCCTACCTCAGGCTCTCAAGTAGCTCAGAGCACAGGTGCATGCCCACCATCCAAGCTTTAAAATTTTTTTTTTTTTGTAGAGATGGGGTCTCACTATGTTGCCCAGGCTGGTCTTGAACTCTGGGCTCAGGTGATCTACCAGCTGTGGCTTTGTAAAGTGCTGGGATTAGAGGCATGCACCACCACATCCAGCCTAAAAAATTACTCCTAAATAACCAATCCTTGGATCAGAAAAAAAATTAATTTTATTATCTAGTCCTTTGTATCATACAGTAATTCTACAGTACTGCTTGTCCTGTAATTTTCCATTAAATTAATAAAATCATCAGTATAGCTCATGGTGTTACAGGATATTTTCTGATTGACATCTAAACTTTCTTTACTGACAGCTACTTTTAAAAATCATATTCTAAAGAAACAGACAGAAAAGTATAAATACCAAGCTCTCATATTTCCCTTTACAACAAAAATAAATTAGTATGTCAATTTGAGTCAATATGCTTTGTATGCAAATAAGATATTTTAGTGCATGATTCTTGCGTTAATATGTTTTTAAAATATAAGTGCAACCGTTAGAGAACAAACTAGCTAAGTTATTGCCAATGATATCACACATTAAGAAACAAATTATTCAAGATTTTTGTTTAGAACCATATGTAATTATTCCTTTTAACATTGCAGATCACATATGAAATGCAGTCTTGATCAAAAAGAAAAAAACAGCTAGAATAAATTCTATTTATACATGAGATCTAACAATCATTACAGAACATCAGTGCTGTTATCTTCACTGTTTTTATTATTTTTAAATCATAGTGATAATTATGGTAAAAATATTCTTCTATAAAATAGATGATTAAATACAGACACACATTTGAAAAACTCTGAGAAATCTATTATATACAAATAGCAGGGCTAACGTAAATATTTGTGTTTGAATATATAAAATCGTGAACTATTATTCAAGTTATTTTTTTGCCATTACATAAAATACATCTAGGTTTATCTTTCATAGTCTTTAATATGGAAAAGATATATATGGCAAATAAAAAGTACCAGCAATATGCCATGAATTACACCAAATTGAAGATATAATAGTCTTTCTCATTTCATTTAGGTGGTAGGGAAGTTGGAAATAAAAAATTCAATTCTGCATTGCAAAATTGTAAAAGTTAGGCTTGCCAAAAAAAAAAATGACAAACTGAATGTACATATTAAATTAACACTTAATATTATATACATATTAAACACTGATATTATACAGCTGTATTCAATGTTTAGATATAGATATTACATTAATATATTTATTCATAATGTATTTTATTCACAGTATGACTGTGTGTATTTGGCTTGAAAATGAGAGGCCATTCAGTAGTGCTATTCAAAAAAGGTCAAGTACAAAGTGACAAATTTGCTTTCATATCTGAATTTCTAACTTGATGATTTTATACTACAATTTTATATATATAAATTGAATTTAAGTGCACATTTTATAGAGAAGTGAAGGGTTAGGTCATTATTTCCTGCAATTAATACAAAAGTTGAAAGTCTTACACTAAGAGAAAATGAAATCACAAATATATTTTGCTTTTGTGAGTAGCAAATATGATCATAAATGCATCATAGCATCACTGTGTATATATTAAATATTATTTTATGGTTATAATAAATATACACTTGTAGTTGAATAGAGATGATTATTAATATAATTAAACCAGCATTCCCTTTTAAATCTGCTATTGTAAAAACTTTGTCTGGAAAAAAGGTAAGAAAATTGGAAGTATGATACCAAGATAATTGTGGCTGCTTGCTCAGAGATATTTTATTGGTGGCATTGCTCTTTTGCATTTATTGTTATCTGGGCTATGACATTGGTTTTCCTGCCACAGAGACAGACTAGCCATCCCACCACAAGTAGATTTATCTCTCAAATGTTTCATCCCTCCTATTACACTAATTTACAACATCTGAAGGATAAATCCAGATTCACAATTTATTAATGTGTAGTGAATAAATAAATTATTCTATGGAAAGAATACATGTTATCTTCTGGAAAATGTCTGAATGGAAATTGCCATGTTTTCATTAGTAACTCATTTATGCCAATTGTATACATGTGGGCACTTTGCTAAGCTGTCACACATGATATGTTATTTAATCCTCACAACAGCCCTGCAATTGAGGGCTTTTACTATTGACATTTTAGATATAAAGAAACTTATTCATAAGGTCAAGTGACTTACTGTACTCATCCATTATCACACTGATATAGAGAACTACCTGAGAAAGGGTAATTTATGGAGAAAGGAGATTTAATTGCTTCACAGTTCTACAGGCCGCACAGGAAGCATGGCTAGAAGGCCTCAGGAAACTTTCAATCATGACAGAAGCTGAAGGGGAATCAAGCATATCTTACTATGGAGGAGTAGGATAGAGAGTTAGATAGAAGGGAAAAGTACCACATGCCTTGAAACCATCAGATCCCATGATAACTCACTATCATGAGAAGAGCAAGGGGAAAATTTGCCCACATAATTCAATTACCTCCCTCCAGGCCCATCTTCAAATTCAAGATGAGATTTGGGCAGGGACACAAATCCAAACAATATCATTCCTCCTCTGGCCCCTCCCAAATCTCATGTGCTTCTTACATTGCAAAGTATAATTATCCCTTCTCAATAGTCCCCCAGGGATAACTCATTTCAGCATTAACTCAAAAGTTCACAGTCCAAACTCTCATCTGAGAAAAGGTAAGTCCCATACATGTATGAGTCAGCAAAATCAAAAACAAGTTAGTTACTTTTAAGATCCAATGGGGTTACAGGCATTGGGTAAATGCTCCCATTCCAAATGGAAGAAATTAGTAAAAACAAAGGGGCCACAGGGTCCATGCAAGTCCAAAACACAGCAGGGCAGTCATTAAATCTTACAGCTCCAAAACAATCTTTTTTGTCTTCATGTCTCACATCCAGGCACACTGATGCAAAAGGTGGGATTCTGAGGTCTTGAGCAGCTCTGCCCCCATGGCTCATCAGGGAACACCCTGCCACTGCTTTCATGGGCTGGTGTTGACTTCTTCTTGACTTATCCAGGCATGTGGTGCAAGCTGTCAGTGGATCTACCATTCAGGGGTCTGGAGAACAGTGACCCTCTTCTCACAGCTTCACTACGCAGTGCCCCAGTTGGGACTCTGTATGGGGCCTCCAACCTCACATTTTCCCTCTACACTGCCCTACTAGTGATTCTCTGTGAGGGCTCTGCTCCTGCAACAGACTTCTGCCTGGACATCCAGGTGTCTCCACACATCCTCTGAAACCTAGGTCAAGGTTCCCAAACCTCAACTCTTGCCTTCTGTGTACCTGCATACCCAACACCATGGGGAAGCCACCAAGTCTTGGGGCTTCTTACACCCTATGAAGCAATGGCCTGAGCTGTATGTTGGCCCCTTTTAGCCACAGCTGGAGCTCAAATGACTGAGACACAAGATGCCATGTCCTGAGGCTACAAAAAGCAAACAGGCCCTGAGTCTGGCCCAAGAAACCATTTTTCTCTCCTAGGCCTCCAGGCCTGTGATAGGATGAGCTGCCCTAAAGTTCTCTGACATGGCCTAGAGACATTTTCTCTATTATCTTGGCTATTAGCATTCAGCTCCTCTTTAATTATGCAAATTTCTGCAGCAGGCTTTAATTTCTCCCCCAAAATTGGGTTTTTCTTTTCTACCACATTGCCTTGCTGCAAATTTTCCAAACTTTTATGCTCTGCTTCCCTTTTAAATGTAAGTTCCAATTTCAGACCATCTCTTTCTTCAAGCATATGACTGTATGCATTTAGAAAAAGCCAGGGTCCATCTTGAATGCTTTGCTACTTAGAAATTTCTTCTGCCAGATACCCAAAATCATCTCTTTCAAGTTCAAAGTTCTAAAGGTCTCTAGGTCAGGGACAAAATGTCTCTAGTCCCTTTGCTAAAGCATAGCAAGAGTCACCTTTACTCCTATTCCCAGTAAGTTCCTCATCTCCATTTGAGACCATCTCAGCCTGGACTTTATTGTCCATATCACTATCAGCATTTTGGTCAAAACAAAACGACAAATTTTTAAGAAGTTCCAAACTTTCCCACATCTTCTTGTCTTCTTCTGAGCCCTCCAAACTGTTCCACCCTCTGTCTGTTACCCAGTTCAGAAGTTGATACTTTCAAGTATTTTTATAGCAGTGTCCCAATCTCCTGGTACCAATTTTCTGTCTTAATTTTTTTTTCACACTGTTATAAATAACTACATGAGACTGGGTAATTTATGAAAAAAAGAACTTTAATTGACTCATAGTTCTGCAGGCTGTGCAGAAATCATGGCTAGGAGGCCTCAGGATACTTACAACCATGGAGGAAGGTAAAAGGGAATCAAGTACATCTTACAATGGTGGAGTAGGAGAGAGAGAGAGAGAGAAGAATAAAATGCCACACATTTTTAAATTATCAGATCTCATGAGAACTCATTCACTATCATGAGAACAGCAAGGGGGAAACCCTCCTTATTATCCAATCACTTCCCACCAGTTCCCTCCTCCAATTTGACATGAGATTAGGGTAGGGACAGAGATCCAAACCATACTACCTACCCGAGTTTAAATTGTTAGTAGATGACATAGCTGTAGCAAAAATCCACATTCTACTAAGTAACCTCTGTGGTACTACTCTGGCAAATGGCTTGTATGATCAATTGATGCACATTTTTTTTTATGGATGCTATGATTATAATTCATTTATAGTAAAGCTTTATTATTCTAGGAGCTGCTATTTAAATTTAAGGTAATTTTACCTCTTTTATAATTATGTGTGGATTGGCTTTTTGCAGGGAAAGACATGTAATCAATTTCATAGGGACAACTAATTGTAATCACTTTAAATCTTTCAAATATAAAACAAAGCTTCACAATTTCAGATTTGCTGACCCATTAAATAAACATTTTATAAAGGTTGATTTTTGTCTCTGAAAAAACTGAACATTACCTTTCCAAATATTAAAATGTGAAGAAAATATTAATGGACTGAAAATAGGTTAGCTTCTTCCAGGCTACCAATTTTCTTCAATTGCAATATTTTAACAGCTTTTTATTTTCTATTTTAGTACCCATTCTTGACACCTTCAAAATGATCACCCATGTTGCAAAATGTCTAGAAATGAAAATCATAGAATGTCACGTCGCATCTTAAAACTTTCTCAATTATTTTTTAAGAAAAAAAATCCATTATTCTTAAAATGATCTAAAACATCTTGCTTCATCTAGCTCCTCACTACATCTCACCATGTGCCACAATCCCCTTAATTCTTATGCTTTTCTATTCAGGTTCTCAAACATAGGTTTTCTCCTGACTCAGAGACATAGTTATATTCCCGCTTTTTTTTTTCCTTTTTTTTTTTTTTTTTTGAGACAGAGTTTCACTCTTGTCACCCAGGCTGGTGTGCAATGCTGCAATCTCGGCTCACTGCAACCTCTGCTTCCTGGGTACAAGTGATTCTCCAGCCTCAGCCTTCTGAGTAGCTGAAATTACAGGTGCCTGCCACCACGCCCGGCTAATTTTTGTATTTTTGGTAGAGACTGGATTTCGCCATGTTGGCCAGGCTGGTCTCGAACTCCTGACCTCAGGTGATCCATCCACCTCGGCCTCCCAGAGTTATATTCTCTTGTCTGCAATATTATAAACTCAAATATAGTCTAAATAAGTTAAAATTCTTCTTCATATCTGTTATTAAACATGACTTCCTCTGCAAATTCTTTAGAGATATGTAGCATTGACTTAACTCTTTTTGCTTTTTATACTGCTATATAATTATATACCTTGTAATCAACATTTACTCTGTTTTTATATATGTATAACTGCTTTTGCTTTTGATTTTTGTATTTACCTTTAGGCTAAATATTTTCTTTAAAAAGATACATTGTCTAGTACATTATTCCCAACAGCCACCATATTGCCCGGCATAATGCATTTTGCTGAACTAAATAGTTCTTCTATTCAAAAGAATAGTGGGCTCAGGATCACTGAGTAGCTGGAGTTGTCACCCTAGATGACATGACCATGGTATTTTAAAATATTGAAAACTGTCTTTGTATGTGTATGAGGGAGGTTGCTCTATTTTACATTCTATCAAACACTATATTCATACTAAATTATTGAAACGTTTCCTAAATTGATTGAGTTTTAGTATCTTCTTAAATCTCTTTACAGAAATATTCTATACAGGATCTGGGAAATGGAGAACTCAATGAAATAGAAACAACAACAAAAACAAACCAAAAAACAAATTTTACTGTGTTCTCCAGAACTTTTTTAAAAAGGGCTTTCATAGGTCCTGGTGAGGTGACTCACACCTGTAACCCCAGCACTTTGGGAGGCAGAGGCAGATGGATCACTTGAGGTCAGGAATTCAAGACCAGCCTGGCCAACATAGTGAAACCCTGTCTCTACTAAAAATATAAAAACTAGCCAGGTGTGGTGGCATACACCTGTGATCCCAGCTACTTGGAAGTCTGAGGCAGAAGACTCACTTGAACCCAGGAGGTAGGGGCCTCAGTGAGCTGAGATCACACCACTGTACTCCAGCCTGGATGACAGAGCAAGACTCTGTCTCAAACAAAAGGAGGGTTTTCATAGAATTTCATCAGTATCTTTACTGATATTAATTGGGGTAACTCAAAACAATAAAATATGGTTGACAGACCTTGATATTACTCCTGTCTGAGCCAGTTTATGTGCATAAAAACATAATGATAACATAAATATCCAACATTCAGCTATGTAAGAAATGTGCAGGTGGGATAGGGAGTTAAAAATCAGAAATAAGCATAGATAGACATAGATAGTGAGGACTAAACTCTGATTTTTTATCTTGCCCAAGCTCCTACCTAAGGGGCCTACGGAATCATGCCCGGCAAACCATAAATTCTCATCAGGTGGGTTTTATTTGACCCTATCATGACTTACTTTTCAATCTAACTCTAGCATAACATTATGACAGAAGAAAAAAATATTTAACTTCAAAATATTTTCTTTTGCCATACCTTTAAATTGCCTTGCAAAGTATCTTGTGGGAAATATCCATATTCTACAGAGAATCTTCTTTCCCCTTTGTTTTCCTTCCTTTCTTTGCAGTTCCAGAAGATAACCAACTAAGAGCCAGGCACCCATTTAGGTCTGATAAGAAACATTTTACAACCTGCCCTCTCTCTAAAGTCTGGTATCTGAGAGGCTGCTCTGCACAATAAAACTTTGTCTCCACAATTCTTTACCTTAACCTAAACATTCCTTTCCATTGATCCTAGGTCTTCAGATAAACTCAACCAATTGTCAACCAGAAAGTCTTTAAATTGATCTATAGCCTGGAAGCCCCCACTTTGAGTTGTCCCGCCTTTCCGAACAAAACTAATGGTTTTCTTAAATGTATTTCATTGATGTCTCATGCCTCTCTAAAATATATAAAACCAAGCTATACCCCCACCTTGGGCAAATGTTGTCAAGGACCTCCCGAGAGCTGTGTCACAGGCCACGGATATATTTGGCTCTGAATAAATCTCTTCAAATATTTTACAGAGTTTGACTCTTTTCATCGAGAATAATCTGGCGCCCAAACACATGGAGCCTCAGAGAAGAATCAGGACCCCAGAGGAGTTGCTTGAAATGGGAGCTAAGGTACTAGCAGGGGCCCAATGAAGGCCAACCGAGTTCAAGCTTCTCCTCCAGTGAAAATGGTTAGTCCTCTTGAACCCTGGACTTCCCTTTGGTTGACAGTCCTTGGTTTATTCTAAGCTTTTTTTTTTTTTCCTGGGAAGGTGTTGTTTAAGGATCCTAATTCAAGTTCAGAGATGCATTTCTAAAGAGTCTTCTCAATTGCTTTTCTCTCGGAATTAACTAAGAATAAAGAGAAAACCAGGAGAATGACCCCCCTTTAGAGCACTCTGTAAGTTTAATGGCACCTCTACTTGAAGTAATATGGTCTTTGTGCACAGTTTACATTAAGGCCAAAGAGTCCTAAGGTCGACCTGGAAACTATAGAGTTTCTAAGTTCTCATTCTCTATTTTCTTTCCTGCATGCTTTAAAACTGCTATTACTTTTCTACTGAGATAAAAACCACTGTTCGGAACTAACAGTGTTTTTTGAAACCTGGCAAAGTTGAATATATCTCATGGCTAAAGTACTGAAGTAATAGCTATGGGAAGTTTCTGTTTGTATGTGTGTGTATGTATTTAAAGACCTTTATAATAGACTTCTATAATGTTATGTTCAATTGGCAATTGAATCTATTTTAATTTCCCTCTAGCACACCAGACTTTCTCCCCATACCTTATGATGTAAATTCTGCTCTCTGATCTTCACCTGAGTTGTTTCCTTTAATATGCAAATTTAGGGCTACTTAGCTGACAACTGCCTAGGGTGATGTAACATATTATCAAGAACTTCCAAAATAGAAAATAAGTGGGAAAAGGAAGTCTTTCATGAATCTATAAAATACTTCTATCAGCATGCTTAAATACGTCTATTTATTTATGTCTGTGTACACAATATTTTCACTACTAAAAATATATGAAGAGCTCTAATTAATTGGCTTTAAAAAAAGAAAAACTAGTCAAATGATTTTTCAAGTTCACGTGACTTAAGTGAAATCTTTACTAAATAAGCAGGCTTTAAAATTATTAGTAAGATAATATCAGCAATGTCTTCAGAATGTTAGCATTTTGTTTGCATCTATTGATCAAGTGGTTCCCTGTTTATTTCTGCAAAATACTATAAGATTTGCCATAAGGGTTATAAGCTATAAAACCCAGCCCAAGACAGAATAATCTTTGCTTGTATATGCTTATGAAATATTGTTGGCTTAAATGAAAACAGCTAAATGCTGAATTATTGGTATAAATACCTGAGATGAGAAGTCTTCTCCCTATCAAAGGTCTTTTCTCAATTGAAGGGATCGTGGCCTCACAGGCTTCAAGGAATGAATCCGTGGACCGCGGTGGTGAGTGTTACAGCTTGACTGGAGAAACGCGTGTACCCAACGAGTGTGCGGTGGCAAGATTAAAGTGAAAGCGAAAGTAAAGCGAAAGCGAAAGTGAAAGTAAAAGTAAAGTTTCCACTTGGAACGGGACCTAGAAGGGTTGCTGTTTCTGGCTTGGGTGTCTTATGCTTATATCCCCTTATGACCTTTCCTTTTTTCCTTTTTCTGTCCTATAGAATTAGCTTATTTTCAGTCCGCTTGTGGGTTTGCGGGCCTGATTAGTTAAAAACGTCAGGCTGCAGCTAGAGCTTAAACTCCCTGTATGATTGGTTGAAGTTTCAATCCACAGCTTGCATCTGTGACTCATTTTGGCTTAGGGGAAAGTCCTTTTTGATTGGTTGAAGTTTCAATCCCTTAGCTTGCAGCTATGACTTATTTTGGCTTATGGGAAAGCCCCTTCGGTAAGTCCATATTGACCCAGGAAGTCCAGCCAACTTAGCCACTTAGTCCCTCATACCCTTAAAACTAACCAACCGTAAGTTTTTTTACTTAAGTAAATACCTGAAATTCACAGCTACAAAAATGGTTAGTAGAAAAATAACTTTAAATATTGGCTATCACAGTTTTTTTTGTTTGTTTGTTTTTTGAGAGGGAGTCTTGCTCTGTCCAGGCTGGAGTGCAGTGGCGCGATCTCAGCTCACTGCAAGCTCTGCCTCCCAGGTTCACGCCATTCTCCTGCCTCAGCCTCTCAAGTAGCTGGGACTACAGGCGACCCCCCACCGCACCAGGCTAATTTTTTTGTATTTTTTTCTTAGTAGAGACAGGGTTTCACCATGTTAGCCAGGATGGTCTCGATCTCCTGACCTCGTTTTTTAATAAATAATCTAGGTAAAGTATAAAATTCAATCAGGTAAATGTAATGGAATAAATGCTTGTAAACTAACTTGTCCTAGTTTAGGATCTAAGGTTATTAATTGACATTAAGTATCTGGGCAATTTCCAATTTAAGAATTATAGAAAAACATTTTTTAATGTTCCTAATGGTAAAATATTGTTAAAAACAGTGTTTTTAGGCAGATAGGAAAAGGGGTTTGGAAAGTTTTTGTTTCATTTAAAGTAGCTCCAGAAATGTTTCTTGTCTATCAGGAAAGCCCTGGCTCTTAGAGCCAGGCCAGCAAGCTTTGATATGCAAATTCAAGTCATTAGAAACTGGGTCCACCCGAACATAGCTATTCCCGCTGTCTTTTCCTTGTTCACACATGTGCCTGGCAACATGGCCACCCCCACATATCCCCATGTGTGTAGAACATCACAGCGCCCTGTATTTGCATATTAAAAGGCTAAGGTGAGAGGGCCAGTTTTTTCACGGGCTACATGAATGACATGCCTGATCAAACCAATCCCCTGAGCCCTATGCAAATCAAACACTACCTCCTCCAGCCTCCACATATAAGCAGCCACTTTTCCACCCCACACAGGTTTTTCTCTCTATTCGAATCCACCCTCCCTTTGTTTCTGTACAGGGGAGCTGTTTTCTTCTTCCGTCCTTTCTTGCCTATTAAACTTTTTGCTCCTTAAAACCATTCCACGTGTGTCTGTGCCCTTTTATCCAAACTGGTGCAAGACCAAGAACCCAGGTGTTCCTCTACTCGTTGGAGCTGTATCAATATCTTTGTCTAATTCAAAGCTTATTTAAGTGTTATATATGAAACAAGGTAAAATAAATCAGTAAATAAGAGAGATATAAAGAAAGTTATAAAAATAAAGAGGTATTTTTGGTAAAAAAAAAAAAAACAAAAGGCTTAAAGAAAAGTAATTTTATATAAGAAAGAATCTTGTGTGGTAAATTTTTGTCCTAAGATTAAAAAAATGACAGAGTTATACAAAAAGAAGGGATATTTTAAACAAAACAGTATAAACATGTTGTGAATGAACTATGTAAGTCATAGTAAGGTCAGTAAGAAGGAATTTTTAAGAGGGATTGCATAACTCAGTTGGCTATGATTAAGAAGATATTATAATAGTCTTTCTAGAAATGGGTCTTTGATATTAAAAATACACAAATACTAAACTAAAAAATTAGTTAAAACAAGATTTTTATTACAAATATTTAACTTTTAATGCAAAATTTTTAAATTTTTGTATTCTATAATCTGTTTTATTTAACATTCTTCAGATTGATATCTTCAGATTGATATCGAAAAGGCCTTGAATGATGGCTCTCTCCTTCATATTTTGTTGCCTCCTGTAACTTTTACTAATTATCTAAAGTAGGTGAGAAAATGTTTGAAAACAGGCAAATAAAATACCTTTTGGACCTGTCTTTTTTTCTACATGCCTGTTATATCTCTATCTTTATATGTGTTATGTAGAAATGATATTTTATTAAAAAACTACATGAAAAACTATTAATTAGCTTAATAAATGTAAATGCTTATCAAATTGGCAAACACTAGCTCAGATGTCTTTTAATTCACATGACCTTGGTAATCTTTGGTAAAAATAAATTTGGTAAATTTAATCTCAAAACTCTCTCCAGTAATTTAATACCTTAAAGTCATGTTAAAACCTCAGTTCCGTGACCCCCTCCAATGGAAATTTGGGTAACTAAAAGTTAAAATAATAGGAGCATAAAGTACACTTTGGGTAAAATTTTATAAAACACATGGATGTCAATTTTCAAAAAAAAAATGTAAGGGTTTTGGTTAAGGAACTATTTAAGAGTTGCTTTATAATGAAGGAAATTATACAGATAAAACTAAATGAAAAAAAAAGAAATCTAGGGCAAAAAAACTCTGAGCCCTATGGTTACCAAGAAAATAGTTGATATGGGGGAATGGCAAAATCAAGTAACTATTTAAAACCAAAGGGTGTAATGTAAAGGAATTGTTCCATTTTGTAAATTGGTTTCATTCAGCTTTGAAAAACAATAACTACAACAACACCCAAAAATCAGAAAAAACCTTTACTATAGTGGATTTTGGATTGTAAAAATAACCACTTTAAGGGCAAAATTCTTAATTTTAAATGCTATAGAATTTAGAGCTTGTTTGGATTAATGCAGGACCCACAGCTCATTCATGAACAATGACTGAGTATATGTGATCCAAATGCACAGGGTGTTATCCTGAGAAAGCAATCAGCCTTGTGGGCCAGATAAATCCATTATAAGATCTGTCTTTCCCAGAGAAGGGGACTGCCCAACCCTCCCTATAAAATACCAAGTGAAGTGCCCCAGATGAAGCAGTTGATATGTTTCATATGCAAGCCATGTTGGACTAGGCTTTATGATAACTGGAATATCTTCCCAACAAATATGTCTATTACCCAGGACATGGTAAATTTGGGGATTAAGAGGGCCCTTTTACATGGGTGCCCATCCCACAGAATCACAGGTCTGTGTAAGAAGACTTATCTAATCTGCTTTCCTTCATAGGTCTTACAGATGCAACTCCCTGCTGGGAACCCAAACCCGTTTCACCAGAAAAGGTAAAAATGGTCTGGGGGTAAAAAAAGGCTTCCTGGGACCAGAACATAAAAACATACAAGATAATAGAATTATAAAATGTAAGATGTTTAACAAGCTTTATATAAGGTAATTGTAGCCCCTTTTATCTAAATGTCTTATGAAAATGGGTACTATATCTAACTGGGGGATGTTTTCCCCTTTCTAGTACTATAAAACTAAAGACATTTACATCTGCTCATGTAAATCCTCCACTGCATAGCCTTTTGTGTGGAGCATTTATGGAGGTGTTGGCAAAACTGTGAGTACTTTTCAATAACAACGACTGAGCTAGAGAATTTCTACTTGATGGGACATTTACTCCCTTGCTACAGAATATTAACTGAAGCTACCCCTATACTGATGGAAATAATGTTTCCCAAAAAGTTCCATGATGAAATAAAATTGATTTACATAAAATATTGCTACCTTATAAGCAGAGAGCATTTTTTCTAGGACTAATGGGGAAAAGCTGCTAAATTCTATAGCGTCTAATAACTCTTATGAGCTGTTTGGTTTATAAATACCATTTCCAAAGTAAACAAACGTCTTGTCTTAAAAGCTGCTACTCTGATTAAAGGGGGGTCATAAAAATCTTTTTCTTTTTCGTTATTTGGGTAAAGTATGTTTATGTAAGCAAATTTACCTTTCTGAGTCCTCCAAAATTCAGATTGTAATTTTATGTAATATAGTTGTCTGCATAACTATATGTAATATAGTTGTCTGCATAAGTTCAATAATTTTTTTTTTAACAATTGGAGACATTGTTTATTTTTCCAAAACTGAAACTAAAATAGCTTATTTTTAGGTAAATTTCAGCAAAACCAACTTTAAAGGAGTCTATATGGCAAGTCAATTATTTGCTGCATTTTATGCAAATAATCAGGCAAGCATAAGCCTAAAACTAAATTTGCACACAAATTGTTCTTCCTATAATATTCTCTTTAATAAAAAATGCAGCTAAAAAATTGTTTCAAGGGTAAAACGTAACATTTAATAATAGATTTTAGGCCTAACTTTTTGAGTAGAGTAAATCATTATTTCTTGGCTACAATAATCCTCTAGAAAGTACCAGATTTTAATTTTTCCTCATGTTTTTAGTTGGTGCCCTAATAGAGTAGGTTCCTTTTTCTCTTCTGACATACAAATTACTCTTAAAATTGTCAAACAATGATTGTTATTTATCTTTTTGTTTTACTTCCAAGGAAACAAAAATCATAGTATTCTGAAAACCAGAGACACAAATCTCCCTCATTTGGCATCCCACTGGGCCCAGATCCGTTTCACTGCTAATGCTCTGCTACTAGAACTATACAAGCTACCTCCCTCTAGGCCCAGGGACTATTGCAGAAGAGGTGGGCGTGTAAGATTGTAAGGGCTGGTGTTGAGGGATAAGCTTAGGACAAGATCAAACCCTCCAAATCAAGAAATGGGTACAAAAAATGCCTAAACAGCTGGCAAAACAAGGTTAGTTGTCTTCTAAAGTACAATGTGTCACTTTTACATCTACCCCAACCATAAAAATTTTTGGCTTACTATAAAATTAAAGGAAAATATGTACTAACAGCATAAAATACCTTGTAACAAAGCCTCTTGGGATAATACTGCCAATTATGAGTTGTGAAGATAAATCTATCTAGGTATATATGTTTTTTTTTTATTTTTCAAAACAATGTTTCTGTTTTGTATAGCTAACTATAAGTCTATAACAAAAACCAAGCTCACAGCAGCTCAACACATAGAAGTTAAAAAGAAGTCAGTCTTGTAACTTTTCCTTTTGGTTTTTCTGTCAGTCTTTTTACTTAAAATAATAATTTTAAGAAGTAACAAATGCCTGTCCACATCCATTCCTGTCTGGCCTAGAACAATTAATTGGCTATAAGTCTTTTGACACCTAAGGCACACAGCCATAGGGAATCCTGCCAAAGAAAAAATGACACTTTAGAATTATATGACTTTTAATGTGACAAAACCTTTTCTCTCCCAAATACCAGTATATGGTGCAATACAACAGTCAGGGGAAAATAGATTTGTCTACTGTTAACAAGTCTATAAAAATTGAGACACTGAGGACAAGGTGTTTCTTGCTTTTAATTTATACTTTCCTCAGGATGCTATACTTATGGAGATAAATTGGCTGGAAAGGAAATTAACTTTTTAAAATTCTAATTTAACATTGTTCTAACAATTCTCAAGTAAGTTTTATCACAACATCCAAATAACCCTTGATAAGGAGGGTAAGCATATTGTGAGTCTTATCAAAGAGTATGATGACACATGCCTCGGGTTTATGGCTGCTTAAGTTGTTTACTGCCTTCTGACTCTACCTATTACCTTCTTGGATGCCTAATCCTTGCTATCTTTATGGTATTTGTCAGTGTATTAGCATTATATATCTCTTATAAATGTTATGCCAGATAGAGCAGAAGGAAAGGCAAAATTAAAGACCTAGATCATGACAGCTCAGAAAATAGATCTGATCCAGGATTTTTTTTTTTTTTTTAGATTAAACCCTAGGCCTGACTCCATCTAACCCATTAAACAATTGGCTATTACATCAGTTCAAACCATGTCCTCCCCCCAGTATCCAAATCACTAATATTTAAAACTATTACCATCAACCAGGCTACTCTAAGAATGAGCCTTCCTAGCACCATAGGACCTCACCAAATGGCCAGATCAGACAACTCTAGGAATGACCCTTCCTAGTGCCATGGGATCTGATGTTGTTGGCCTGCATACACATTCTGTGGGATGCTTTTTGGCCATGAGTGGGGACTGAGGACTCAGCTCTGATTTTTTTATCTTGCCCAAATTCCTACCTAAGGGATCTAGAGATTCATCCCCTACAAACCATAAATTCTCATCAGATGAGTTGTATTTGAGCCTATGTATCGTGACTTACTTTTCAATCTGACTCTGGCATAACATTATGAGACAAGGAAAAAATATTTAACCTCACAATATATTTCCTTGCCATACCTTGACATTGCCCTGCAAAGTTTCTTTTGGGAAAAATCCACATTTTATAGAGAATCTCCTTCTCCTTTTGTTTTCCTTCCTTTCTTTACAGATCCAGTAGGTAATCAACTAAGAGCCAGGTACCCTTTTAGGTCTAATAAGAAACATTTTACACCCTATTCTGTCTCTAAAGTCTGCTGAGAGATTCCTCTGCACAACAAAACTTGGTCTCCACAATCCTTTACCTTAACCCAAACATTCCTTTCAATTGATTCCATGTCTTCAGATAAACTCAACCAATTGTTAATCAGAAAATATTTAAATTCACCTATAGCCTGGAAGCCCCCCTGCTTTGAGTTGTCCCACCTTTCTGAACCAAATCAATGTTTTTCTTAAATGTACTTGATTGATGTCTCCCTAAAATCTATAAAACCAAGCTGTACCCTGACCACCTTGGGCACATGTTCTCAGAAGCTCCTGAGGGCTGTCTCATGGGTCATGGTCACTCTTATTTGGTTCAGAATAAATCTCTTTAAATATTTTACAGAGTTTGACTCTTTTAATCGACAAGAACTAAATTTAAACTCATTACATGTGGGAGCCAGTCCAAGACTTAATTCTTAGTTCATCCATGTAAGTATTATAAGACTTTTACAACTGCTAGTTTTAGAGCTAATTTATTTTGAGAAAACAGCAAAGAATTACCATGTAGAGGTGAAAATAAATCTAAGAAAAAACACAGATTTGGAAATTACAGGGGATAAAAAAGAGCCTGCATTTGAAGTAGAATAATAAAATGCTTGAAAAATAAAGAGCTGTAGAAGGAAGAGAGGAAGCTGATGTTTAAGTTCTCTGTTTTAAATGTTTAAATGATATACTTTAAAAAGGGCTAGGCTCAGATAGAAACATTATTGTGCAAAAAGTTTTCATTAATCTGACATTCTTCCTCCTCAGATCTTGGACCCTGATTGTAGAAAAATACATAATTATACTGACTACTTTTATTTTAAATTTGACCGCAAATCCACTAAGCTCTCAATGCTAACTTACTACGTTTCCTTTGTCTACTAATCTTCTGCTCTCCTATATCACTCTTTTATACTCTCATACTTTTTTCTTTCTTTCTTCTTTCCTTCCTTTCTTTCCTTCTTTCCTTCCTTTCTTTCCTTTCTTTCTCTTCTCCTTTCTTTCTCTTTCTTGCTTTTTCTTTCTTTCTTTCTTTCTTTCTTTCTTTCTTTCTTTCTTTCTTTCTTTCTTTCCTTCTTTCTTTTCTTTCTTTCTGTCTCTTTCTCTCTTCCTTTCTCTATCTATTTTATTATTTATTTATTTTTACAGACTGGGTCTTGCTATGTCACTCAGACTGGACTTTAACTCCTGGGCTCATGCAATCCTCCTGCCTCAGCTTCCCGAGTAGCTGAGATTACAGATGTGTGTCAGTGCTCCTGGCTACGCACCTCTCTCTAAATCCTCGATATTCTCTCCCTACTCCTTATGTTAAGTGGTACTACTTGTTTTCTTATCTTTGAGACTCTAAAGACAATTAAAAGAGAACTGTCATGTGCATGTTTCCACACACTCAGGACAGACTCAGCTTTCTCTTCTGTTAATACAGAGGGACTATTGGTTCTTCCTGCTAAGGAAATCTTACCTATTTTTGTGCTCAGTCCAATACTCTCACTTATTCCATCATGACCCAGAAAATGGTTCTGTCTTCCATAAGTTCTTTTTCTACACTGATTCCTTCTCATTAGATTATTCAATAGCAAATAGGATGTACTCATTCATTTATAAAGCAAACAAAAAACAAAAAGATCTTCTTTGTCATCATATATAACCTTTCACTACCTTCTGCCTAATCACCCTAACTTTCTTTGCCCATATTTATTTTTCTGTTCCTCAAATACATTCGGCATGCTGCTACCTCAGGACCTTTGCACATTCTCTAACTTCTACTTGGGATTCCTTCCTCTTGACTGCTATATAAATCTGCTTCTAGATCACTGTCTTTTTCTTCAGGTCTTTCCTGAAATGTCATCTTATCATGAGGTCTTTTATAAAACCTTATTGTTTTCTAACTCTGCTCCTGCTGTATCTTCTCTCCTAGCCCTTATCTTTCTCTGACATATTGCCTATTTATTGTCTGGCTTTTTTGCTGTAAGGTGAGCTAGTTGAGAATAGAATTTATTTTTTTTAAGTTTAATGATAAGTTCTAGTTAAGGAAATATAAAATAAATATATAAATATAGACACAGAAAGTGACAATAAAAGTAGAAATATGTTGTCAAAATGTTAATGGCACAGTGGAAAAACTACCAAATAAGGACAAAAAACTCGGCCAGGCGCGGTGGCTCACGCCTGTAATCCCAGCACTTTGGGAGGCCGAGGCGGGAGGATCACGAGGTCAAGAGATAAAGACCATCCTGGCCAACATGGTGAAACCCTGTCTCTACTAAAAATACAAAAATAGCTGGGTGTGATGGCGCACGCCTGTAATCCCAGCTACTTGAGAGGCTGAGTCAGGAGAATCGCTTGAACCCAGGAGGAGGAGGTTGCAGCGCGCCAAGATTGCACCACTCCACCCTGGGTGACAGAACGAGACTCCATCTCAAAAAAAAAAAACCTCATTATTTATACATATATAGCCAATTTAATTAAGTTGCTATTCCAACTCAATGGAAAGTGCTACTCCAAGTTAGTGGAAAGCTGGCTAGAAACGGAATTTAAAACAATAAGTTTAAAGCCAGGCATGGTAGCTTATGCCTGTAATCCCAGTACTTTGGGAGGCCAAGGCAGGCAGATCATGAGGTCAGGAGTTCAAGACCAGCCTGGCCAATATGGTGAAACCCCATCTCTACTAAAAATACAAAAATTAGCCAGATGTGGTGGTATGCACCTGTAGTCCCAGCTATTTGGGAGGCTGAGGCAAGAGAATCACTTGAACCCGGGAGGCAGAGGTTGCAGTGAGCAGAGATGGTGCCACTGTACTCTAGCCTGGAGCCTGGATGATGCAGCGAGACTCTGTCTCAAAAAAAAAAAAAAAAAAAAAAGAAAGAAAGAAAAACAAACAACTCAATAAGTTTAATAAAATTCAATTCTAATTTGAGTATAAGAAAATAGAAATTTCATACATAGTTGTTATGAATGTTAACTGGAAAAGCCTCTTCGAAAAGCAATAGGTAGTATCTACGTAATATTTCTTTCAGTCAACACAGTCCACCTTTGCAACCCTATAATAAAGAAATACAAATGTTTCTAAAGATATATTTGAAATATTTAAATATTTAAAAATAGGATGTATATACATGTGTGAATTACACAGTTAGAAAATAATTAAAAATACATACATTGAAGCTGGTTGTATGCCTATAGTTCCAGCTATTTGGGAGACTTGAAGTGGGAAGATCACTTAAGCTCAGGAGTTCAAAGCTGTAGTGTGTGATGATCATACCTGTGAATAGTCACTGCATTTGAGCCTGTGCAACAGAGTGAGACCCATACTTCTGAAATAATAATGATATTAAATAAATAAATGCATCTAAAGTAAGAAAGAAGGACTGAAGTGAAGAAAGAAGGAAGAAAAGAGAGAAGAAATGAGGGGAAAAGATTAATTATATTCTAGTTGTGGTATATTATATTTTTAGTCATACTCAAAAATTCCAGGGCAGCCCAGTTCCTCTTTGCCTCGATAAGGATGACCATCTCTTCATACACTATACTGGTATGATGGGCCAAAGCCAGGTGTACAAAAGCCAAGCTGTACTTCAACTTTTGGCAGCTCTGAGTGGACTTTGTATATAGAAGTGTCTTTGTTCCATAATATTAAGCTCTTGGCTGTGCTCACTGCCCTTTTCAGTCCAGAGCAAGGGTTTCCAGGAGGGAAGTACAACAGACATCCAGATTATTTGGCTAATATCTGCTACCAGTCTGTGTGAAGAGCTGGTATGCTCATGTCATGGACCCTCCAGTTATGTTATCCAGTCTGATGCTGGGAAGGTTGTGCCCCTGTTCAACCTCTGGAACCTAGCATAGGAATTCAGTAGAAGAGACTGAAAAAAACAACAACAGCAACAAAAAACCTGCTGAATATGACTGATGGAAAAGATCAAAGCAGCAAAACATTCATTTGCAATAATAAAAAGACTTTTAATGCCTTTTAAGACCTTCACTGTTTAAATTAATGATTGACATTTTGTATCATTACCTAGCAATGAATTAAAAACATCAACTTTAGATGTAGGTGTCAGCAAGGTTTATTTGTCAGGGTTTTCCAGAGAAACAGAACCAATAGGATGTGCATGAACATAGAGTTTTATTTTAAGGAATTGGCTCATGTAATTTTGAAGGGTGATAAATTAAAAATTCTGCAGGGTGTGGCCAATGTGGTGGCTCACACTTGTAATCCCAGCACTTTGGGAGGCCAAGGCAGGCAGATCACCAGGTCAGGAGTTGGAGACCAGCCTGGCCAACACAGTGAAACCCCATCTCTATTAAAAATGCAAAAAATTGGCCGGGCATGGTGGCAGGGGCCTGTAATCCCAGCTACTCTGGAGACTGAGGCAGGAGAATTGCTTGAACCCAGGAGGTGGAGGTTGCAGTGAGCTGAGATCACGCCACTGCATTAGAGCCCAGATGACAGTGCGAGACTCTCCATCTAAAAAGAAAAAGAAAAAAAAAAATCGCAGGGTGACCTGATTAGCTAGAGATCCTGGAAAGAACTGATGTCATAGTTTAACTCCAAAGGCTATCTTCTGATAGAATCTCTCCTTGCTTGGAAAGAGGTCATTCTTTTGTTCTATTCAAGGCTTCAACTGATTGTGTAAGGCATAACCACATTATGTAGGGCAATCTGCTGTACTCGAAGTCCACCAATTTAAATGTCAATCTCATCCATAAATGCCCTCAGAGGAACATTCAGGATGTTTGACGACATTTCTGGGCACCATAGCCTAGCCAAGTTGACACATAAAATTAACCACACAAAAGACAAAATTAATTTACAGTCTTAGCTGTAATGACTGTGATAGCTTAAAAAAAATAAGCTAAGTATCCTTAAACAACCTAAAGGATTTATCTCTATACACTATTATTTAAAATGCTGGACCAGCTAGAATTTACAACAGGTTATATAAAACTTATCTCAGAAAACGAAAATCTACAGTGCTAGTCTCAAATCCAGTAGCGATCCTATGCATACTAAATGTAAAGCAGAGACTATGTTGTATTTATGTAGCTTATGAATATAAACTTTCATTTTATATTTTGCTTCCTCTAAAATGACATAAAGTCTTAGATTAAGAGGCACTATGATAGCAGATTTTTCCAGATGGAAGAGAATGGCATAATTGATTATTTGCTGCATATTAAAAGATGATATTTTAGACAAATTGCTATCCACTTATTTTCTCCAGTAGGAGCTACAACTTGATTTAAAACAAGATTTTAAATGTATAGTTGCCGGCTATGTAAGTAACAAGGAAAATAGCTATGTAATAAATGTGAGATTTGGTGTTTTATGCAGATTCAGTTTGTAAATCTCATAATATATTTTGGGCTTATGTTTGCAGTAGAATAGTAAAAAGATATATATTCCACCAAATGGTATTATAAATTATATAAGTCAAATTCTCCATTTTACATATGAGGAAATTTACCACAGAATGGAAGTACTTTCCTTGTTCATAAACTTTTCATTGACAGAACAAGAACTAGTATAATAATCTCCTGAAATTAATCTCCTGGCTGCAGAGAAATTAACTACAATTATTCATTTTCTTAGTCTATTTTGTGTTGCTATAAAAGAATATGCAAGACAGGGTAACTTATAAAGAAAATAAGTGTATATGGATCACAATTATGGAGGTTGGGAAGTCCAAGATTGGGCAGCCCATCTGCTGATGTTCTCACTGTGTTTAAACTCATAGTGAAAGCATAAGGAAGGAAATGGGCATCTGCAAAGAATCCAAGCAAGAGAAGGAGCAACCGGCTTGTGAACTCACTCCCTTAAGACAGCATTAATGTATTCAAGGGGATCTGCCCTGTGATCCAAACACCGCCTACTAGGTCTCACTTCCCAACACTGCCACATTGGGAATCAAATTTCAACATGCGTTTTGTCAGCGACAAATCACTTCCAAGCCATAGCAACCACGTACCCACAAATAAGAGTCGTAATCTATTAGGGTTTTTCTTAAGTTGATCATTTTTTCTGTATATAAAGTGACACATTTCAGAATAAATTAGTATGATTTAATCCTGTCTCAGTGACTATTCTTTCTTTTATCAAAATGGTTTATTATGATAAATGTAGTGGTCATATTTCAAATGCATTGTTTACCTTTGCATACACTGTATATATAGAATCCTCAAAAACATATGGTATTATGAAATTTTTATATTTGCATGTGCAATATCATATAACATTATTATACAGTGTGCTTTTACCACTCAAAATTATGTTTCTGAGTTCTACATCTATCTATATCTATGTATGTAAAGATTGACCTATATGTGATATTGTTCTACAAATAGAATTTTTCTATTTTCAGTAATTTATTATTATGAACATCATGCTATAAACATTCATATGCCTTTCTACTTCTATAAAGTTGCAAGAACTTCTCTGTCATTTACTCAGAAGTAGTGTTTCTGGTCTTTATAGTAACTTTTATTTTTTATTTATTTTTTTATTTCCATAGTTTTGGGGGTACAGGTGGTTTTTGGTTACATGGATGAGTTCTACAGTGGTGAATTCTGAGATTTTAATGAACCCATCACCCAAGCAGTGTACACTGTACCAAATATGTAATCTTTTATTTCTCACTCCCCTCTCAACCTCTGACCTTGAGGCCCCAAAGTCCATTATATAATTCTGTGTGTCTTGGACTCATCAAAGCTTAGCTTCCACTTATAAATGAGAACATATGGTATTTGGTTTTCCACTCCTGAGTTACTTCACTTCAAATAATGGCCCCAGCTCCATTCAACTTGCAGCAAATATTTCATTCCTTTTTATGGCTGAGTAGTATTCCATGGTGTATATACACTACATTTTCTTTATTGATCACTCATTGGTCAGTGGGCACTTAGGTTGATTCCATATCTTTGCAATTGCTAATTGTGCTGCTATAAACGTGTGTGCATGTGTTCTTTTCATACAATGACTTCTTTTCCTTTGGATAGATACCCAGTATTGAGATTTCTAGATCAAATGAAAGTTCTACTTTTAGTTCTTTAAGGAATCTCCATACTGTTTTCCATAGTGGTTGTACTCATTTACATTCCCACAAGAAGTATAACAGTTCTTCCTTTTCGCCAAATCCAACAAATATCTATTGTTTTTGACTTTTCAACTGTGGTCATTTTTGCAAGATTAAGGTGATATTTCATTGTGGTTTTAATTTGTATTTCCATGATAATAAGTGATGTTGAGCACACTAATGTGTTTGTGTATCTTTATCTTCTTTGGATAAATGTTTGTATATCTTCTTTGGAGAAATGCCTGTTCACATCCTTTACCCACTTTTTGATAGGATTATTTGCTTTTTTTCTTTTGATTTGTTTGAGTTCCTTATAGATTCTGGATACTAGTCCTTTGTCATATGCATAGTTTGCAAATATGTTCTCTCATTCTGTGGGTTTTCTGTTTACTCTGCATAGCAAAATAAATATTTTTTTTCTATGCAGCAGGTTTATAGTTTAATTACGTCCCATTTATTTATTTTTGTTTGTGTTGAATTTGCTTTTGGGGTCCTAGTCATTAATTATTTGCCTAGGCCAATGTTCCAAAGAGTTTTTTCAAAGTTATCTTCTACAATTTCTATGGTTTCAGGTCTTAGATTTAAGTCATTGATACACCTTCAGTTGATTTTGTATAAGGGAAAAGATGAGGATCCAGTTTAATTCTTCCACTAGTGGCTTGCCAGTTACCCAGCCCCATTTCTTAAATAGGGTTTCTTTTCCCCCGTTTATGTTTTTGTATGCTTTGTTGAAGAACAGTTGGCTGTAAGTATTTGGCTTTGTTTCTGGGTTCTCTTTTCTGTTCCATTGGTCTAAGTGCCTGTTTTTACACCAGTGTAATACTGTTTTGATAACTGTAACTTTGTAGCATAATTTGAATTCCAGTAATGTCATGCCTCAAGATGTGTTATTTTTGCTTAGATTACTTTGGCTATTGGGGCACTTTTTTAGTTCCATATGAATATTAGAATTGTTTCTTCTACTTCTGTGAAAAATGGTGATAGGATTTTGATGGGAATTGCATTGAATCTGTAGATTTCTTTGGGGATAGTGGTGATTTTTGCAATATTAATTCTTCCCATCCATAAGCATGGGATGTGTTTCCATTTATTTGTTTGTGCCATCTATGATTTATTTCAGTAGCGTTTTGCAGTTTTCCTTGTAGAGAACTTTCACTTCCTTGGATAAGTATATTCCTAGGTATTTGTGTTTTTTTGCAGCTTTTGTAAAGGCGATTGAGTTCTTTATTTGATTATCAGCTTGGTTGTTGTTGGTGTATAGCAGTACTACTGATTTGTGTACACTAATTTTGTAACCTGAGACTTTATTGAATATGTTTATCAAATCTAGGAGCTATTTGGATGAGTCTTTAGGGTTTTCTAGGTATGTAATCATATCATCAAAGGACAGTGACAGTGTGACTTCCTCTTTTTTAATTTTGATGCCCTTTATTTCTTTCTCTTGCATTATTTCTCTTCCAGTGCTATGTTGAATAGAAGTCATGAAAGTGGGCATCCTATTCTTTTTCCAGTTTTCAGGGGGAATGCTGTAAACTTTTATTCAGTCAATACGATGTTGGCTGTGGATTTGTTATATACAGTTTTTAGTACTTTGAGGTAAGTCCCTTCTATGCCTACTTTGTTGAGAGCTTTTACCACAAAGGGATACTGGATTTTATCTACTGCTGTTTCTGTGTCTATTGAGATAATTATATGGTTTTTTGTTTTTAATTTTGTTTATATGATGTCTAGTTTCCTTTTTGTTATGTCCTTTCCTGGTTTTGATGTTAGGGTGAAACTGGCTTCATAGAATTCTTTAGGGAGAGTTCCTTATTTCTGTATCTTTTGGAATAGTTTCAGTAGGCTTGCTACCAATTCTTCCTTGAATGTCTGGTAGACTTCAGCTGTGAATCAACCTGGTTGTAGACATTTTTTTTCCTTGGCAGTTTTTTTATTACTGATTCAATCTCACTGCTTGTTATTGTTCTGTTCAGGATTTCTATTTTTTCCTGGTTTAATGTAGGAGGATTAGATGCTTCCAAGAATTAATTCATTTCATCTAGATATTCTAGTTTGTGCTTTTAAAGGTGTTCATTGTAGCCTTGAATAATCTTTTGTATTTCTGTGGCATCAGTTGTAATGTCTCTAGTTTCATTTCTAATTGAGCTTATTTGAATCTTATCTCTTCTTTTCTTGGTTAATCTCCCTAAAGGTCCAACACTTTCTTTTATGTTTTCAACAAACCAGTTTTTTTGTGTGTCATTTATCTTTTGTATTTTTCCAGTTTCCCTTTCATTTAATTCTGCTCTGATCTTTGTGATTTTTTTTTTTCTTCTCCTGGCTTTCAGTTTAATTTGCTCCTGTTTCTGTAGTTCCTTGAAGCGTGACAAGAGGCTACCATTTGTGCTGTTTCAGACTTTTGGATATAGGCATTTAATGCTATAAAATTTCCTCTTAGCGTTGCTTTTGCTGTATCCTGGAGGATTTGATAACTTGTGTCACTATTATCGTTCATTTCAAAGAATTTTCTAAATTACTATCTTGATTCCATTGTTAATCCAAAAATCATTCAAGAGCAGATTATTTAATTTCCATGTATTTGTATAATTTTGAGGGTTCCTTTTGAAGTTGAGTTCCAGTTTTATTTCCCTGTGGTCTGGGAAAGTACTTGATATATCAATTTCAATTACCTTAAATTTATTAAAACTTATTTTGTGGCCTATAATATGGTCCTATCTTGGAGAATGTTCCAAGTGCCGATGAGAATGTATATTCTACAATTCTTGGGAAGAATTTCTGTAAATATCTGTTAAGTCCATTTGTTCTAGGGTATAATTTAAGTCCATTGGTTCTTTGTTGACTTTCTGTCTTTATGATCTGTCTAGTGCTGTCAATGGAGTATTAAAGTCCCCCACTATTATTTTTTTGCTGTCTGTCTCATTTCTTTGGTCTAGTAATAATCTTATTAAAAATCTGGGAGCTTTAGTGTGAGGTGCATATAAATTTAGGATTGTAATATCTTCTTGTTGGACTGATTCTTTTATCATTATATAATACCCTTCTTTGTCTTTTTATACTGCTATTTCTTTAAAGTCTGTTTTGTCTGATGTAAGCATAGCTTCTCCTACTTAATTTTTATTTGTGTTTGTATAGAATATCTTTTTCTATTCTTTTGCCTTGAGTTTATAGAAATCCCTATGTGTTAAGTGAGTCTCTTGAAGAAAGAGGAAATTTGGTATGTGATTTTTAAAAATCCATTCTGCCATTCTGTATCTTTTAAGTGGAGTATTTAGACCATTTATATTCAATGTTAATATTGAGATGTGAGATACTGTTAGATTCATCATGTTAGTTGTTACCTACTTTGTGTTTTTTTTTCATTGTGCTATTATTTTATAGACCCTGTGAATTTTATACTTTTAGAAGGTTCTATTTGGTTTATATTGAGTTTTTGTTTCAGGATTTAGACTCATTTTAACATTTCTTGTAGAGTTGGTTTGGTAGGGGCAAATTCCCTCAGCATTTGTTTGTCTGAAAGATCTTTCTTGCTGCTGCTTCAACTTTTATATTTCTCACTGCTCCCTCAATCAGTTCTAGCCCTGGGTAGGGTTAAGGTCTTCTCCCTTGGCCTGAATTCTTAGGTTCCCTGATGGAAATGTATATCCTAAAGGCAGTCTCTCTCCCTCTCACACTCTGAGGACTTATAGATTTTTGCCTGTCTCATGGAGTAAGCTGCAGCCTGGCGCTGCCTTCAAAAGGTCTGTGGATTCTTTTTTTTTTTTTTTTTTTCTGTTAAGTTCTTGCATTGAATCTTATACTGTGAATCTCTACACACTATTTTGTCTGTCCAAGTGAGAGAGGCATGCTAACACTGCCTGCAATCTGCCATCCTGGAAAAAAAACAAAACCAAAAGCTTTACATTAAAAATGAATCCTACCAAAAATATCTCTAAGGTGGTTGTCAAAAATTTGTATTTTCTTCATTAATCCACATGCTTGCCAAAATTAATATAAGCAAATAATTTATTATTTGAAACACTGATGATATTGTCTTGTGTATTTTAACTTTTTTCATATATAATATCTAATATACATATAATAAAATGTGTATGTCAAAATCATAGTTTGCTTAATTTGCACAAATTGAACACACGTGTGCAACCAACAATCGTAACTCAGATTAGGAAATAAAATTCTACCACTATTTCAATTACCACCTCATGCTCCCTTCCAGACACTACCTATCTCAAATGTCACCATAGTCCTAGTTTCAAGTAAATTTATTTTACCTAAATCATTCTTTAGATAAATTGTGGCTTACAGTCAATATTCTATTGTGTCTGACTTCTTCTGCTTAGCATTTTGTTAGTGAGATTAATCTTCATAGTTGTACACAGATAATGTATTCTAAGTTTTGGTAGTCATGTTTTACAGCATTTCATTGTATCTATATACCCTATTTTATTTATACATTCAAATTTGATGGGAATAAAGTATATTTTGGGGAAGTGAGTGCTATTATAAATAGTATAGCTATAAGCTTTTTAGTAAATATAATTTAATTAACAAGTGTATTAATTCATTTTGTGTATATATCTTCAAATGCACTTAGGGGGCCACAGGATACACATATGTTCAATTTTAGAAGATAACGAAAAATATTTTTCCAGAATCATTGTTCAAATGTATACTCTCACCAGCGGTGTATAAAATATTGGATGTACATATCCCGGACAAAACTTGGAATTGTCATTCATTTTCATTTTAGCCATTCTTGTTTGTGAAAATTTATATCATTTCACTGGTGGTTGATGGAGTTAAACATCTTTTAAAAAGATGCTTATTGTCCATTTAAATATGCTTTAATGTGAAATACTCATTTCTTCTTGCTGCTTTTTGGATCATTTAGCATTTTCTTGTTCATTTGTTGTATAAAATAAATCGATATAAGTACAGTGACG
The DNA here is from genome assembly GCF_000001405.40 of Homo sapiens. NCBI lineage: Eukaryota > Metazoa > Chordata > Mammalia > Primates > Hominidae > Homo > Homo sapiens. The sequence goes on from NC_000005.10 coordinate 25,587,734, forward strand.
ATCTTTCATTAATTAGTAGCTTGTCTTTTTCTTCCTTAACTGTAATTCTTGAAGAACAAGTGTTCTCAATTTTATTATAGCCTGTGTTTTCCTATAACAAATTGTGCTTAGTGAAACATGTTTTAAAACTATCTATCCCACATTATTATCATAAATCTATTTTTCTATAGCCCCCTCTAAAATATTTATTGTTTTAATTTTATAATTATATGTGCAATCATTTTGAATATAATCAATAATATAACTTAGAATATATGAAATAAACATTGATGGAAATAAATTAAATACAGACATTCCATAATTCTGGTGGTGGGACTTCAACACATTTTCCTCAACAGCTAATATTACCAGTCAAAATATCAGTGTGGCTGTAAAATGTGTGAACAAAACAATCATTAAATTTGACCTAATAGGCATTTATGGAACACTTTGCATAATTACATTCTTTTCAATTGTTTATGCAACATTTACGACATTGACTTATAAAGAAAATGACCAATTTCAAAATATTAAAATCCTTTGTGTTTTTTCAGAACTTAAACAAAAATCGGATTTAAGCTAAAAATAAACAAGTAGATAACCAGAAAAAAATCCAATTTGCAGAGTAAAATGTATACACTGCTAAATAATTATAAAGTTAAATAACCATATACAAATTTTAAAAATATTTGAACATAATGATAATATGGCAGCCACGGCATATTCTCTCTTGTATGATGCAGCTATCATAATACTTAGAAATAATTTGATAGCCTTAAACATATATACTAGAGAAGAAAAATCAGAAGAAAATTAATGACTTAATTTTCCATTTCAAAAAGTTAGAAGAATAACCGGAAAATCAAATCTGAAGGACAAAGAAGAAATAATCCAACCTAGAACAAGAGTCAATGAAATAGAAAACAAACATAAAATAGAGCAAATCAAGAAAGCTAACCATAGTCCGTCTAAAAAGATTTATTAAATTAATAAATTTATAGCAAGATGATAGAGACTAAATAGAGATGTTTCCAAAATCAGATGTTTCCAATTCTTCCAAAAAAGAATAATACCAAACAAGAGTATCATCCCAAATCTTCCTGACAAACTTAAAGTAACAAGTGAACATTGTGAGCAACTAAACATTACATTTGATAGTTTGAATAAAGTAGATTAATTCTCCAAATAATTACCCTACTGAAGACTACTGGAGAAGAAATATAAGACATGAAGGCTCTGATATCATTAAAATATTATAAAGACATTTTTTAAAAACCTTTCAATACAGAAAGACCAAAGATATGATGGACCCAGTGGTGAATTTTTCTTAAACATGTTTTCCTTTAAGAAATTAAGGAACAAATAAAGTTAATCTTACACAAGTCATTTTAGGGAGTAGAAAATGAGTGGAAATTTACACTTGGAGACTACTGAATCCCTGCTTCTATAACTGTGACTGAAACTTGGCCACGTAATTAATATCAAAACATTTCTCCTATTTTTGAAAAATTGACTTAAAATTATATCTCACATAATTGTAATTTTGACTACAACTCTAACTAAATTATCTTTGTTATTCCCATTATTATTCTCATTTCTTTTTTAATTGATCACAGTTTTGTTTTATTTTATATTTGTTTCTAAAGCAACAACATACATAAAAGCAACAAGGAAATTATAACTATTTTGAGAGTGTCTGAAATCACTCGGGTGATTTTCAAGAATGAATACTTTAGTCTGGAAAAGAAGTAAGAAAACCTAAACTTGCAAAGGACATTGCTTGCAGGGCACTCTAACAACCAAAAACCGTGGTGTAGAAGTTCACCTGCCCAGAATGTAATACTAGTCCCTACTCAACTTCCAGATACTCAGTTTCGATCTATAAAATGTAAGAAATGGTATTGCATTCCTCAAAGAATTGTTTTTGAAGAATTATGAGATGATTATAAATTCCTCAGAACAGTGCATGACTTTGGTATGCGCTTAGTATCAGACATTATTTATTATTGATAACTCATGAGTGAATGATAAGACAGGGTGTAAAAAGAGGTAGTTTTAAGTGCAGGGTAAGTGTATGTGCAAACAGCTGCAGAAAGATCTCTTTATGAAGGGCAATGTGGGAGAGTTCATCCATTTAAGGAGTTCTAGGTGTGGTTTCTGTGGAATATAGATTGCTTACAAGTGAGGCTTTGAAAGCTTGGGCAATGACTGGCTTTAGGGACAAAAGACTATCTTATTTTTGTAAGCAATGTATTGAGGGTAATGTCCTGTGTGAGTCTGAGTACCTCTACCATGTAGCCTTGTAGGGTAGCTTAAGGACTATGAGACTGAGGAAGGTCAATGCTGAGTGAACATTCATGACATGGGACAAAGAGAACAAGAAGATGCCTTAAGACTGGATCCTTTATGAATATTTGTTTTTCTGTTTCTTCCACTTTTTTATAAAGATGGAATGGAAGGATTGACCTGAATTCCTCCATTTGAGAAAGAATAACACTGATCTTGCAAAATAATTGTATAGAGATACATAACAAGATGACAAGTTTATACACAAAATTGCAAAAAAGCTGCAGCTTCTTCAGTTTCTATGTTAAGCCTCTTGAGCTTCAAGGCACCAGGGGTTGTGGGAGAACATTTAACTTACCAACGAACTTACTCTAGTCTCTGGGTTTTAAAACAATCTCTATTTCTCTGGTCTATGAGCCTGTCTCCTTTGGAGAACTTCTTGTTTTTATTCTGTTTCTGGTTTGTTTTGTTTGGGTTTTAAGGTGCGTGTAAATAATAGGAGGCTTGCCTGGTTTTGTTTGTACCTAGAGAGTAATGTTAATATTTCAACACTGGTCTTTGCTTTATCTTCTGTGCAGTGATGACTCCCTACAGTGAGATGAATAGTCTGGCCAGGTCTGTAGGTAATGTATATTCTTGCCCTTGAAAAAGGGAAAACTTAAGTTGTTGCAGTCCTATGATTCAGGCAAGAACTGTGATACTGCTTTGTTGACATGCTTTGACCTGCAGACCTCTGAATGAACACTCTTCATGCTATCTTTGCATAAAGAGTTGTTGCTTTCTAGCTTTTTTGGTTAGTGTCCACTGCCTCTATCCAGAAGGCTCTCAACTCAGTGACTCTTTTAATCACCCACAGAAATATGGGATTTTTGTATCCACTAAATACCAAAAATCTATTTATTAAGACAGGGAGTTCTCATTCTTTTTGTCTACGCATGTAATACACATAATGTTTTCTTTTTCATAACTATGCTTTTGGCATAAGACCACACTGGTTGACCCTTACAATTATGATTAGGTTTTCAGTTAACCTAATGAACACCCATCCTCTTCAGAATTTTAATTTGTAGTCTGTAGCCAAGATACAACCAGTCTGACTGCATGCTTCCCTCACTTTGTTTCCTATAATTTTCTCACCCTTCTGACTTTCAGAAGAAAAAGTACAGGATTTCCCTGCTTCCTGGAAGAATGAGGACTGTTCATTCCATTATACATTGTAGTGTTTAGCTGTGTTATATGATAAAACTGAACATTCAAGCAGTCAGGCCTGCCTCTTATATAAGAAGCTTAAATATTTTAAATAAGTTTTAAATCGCTTTTTACAAAAATGTATGACCATTTGCATTTCAAGTATTTTCTAGGGCTCTGATGTCTAATACAATAGTTATTACTCACAAGTGGCCATTTAGTAATTGAAATGCAGATTGTTGAAATTGATATGTGTCATGAGTGTAAAATATATGCCACATTTTACAGACTTATGAAAAACATAATATAAAATAGCTGGATAATATTTTTGTTCAAATGAAATTTTTTGTACATATTTGGTTAAATACAATTAATTTAATGTTTCTTTTTAGTTTTGAAAAATTATGCCTTCCAGACAATTTAACATTATCTGTGTGATTCACATTATATGTCTATTGGACAGTGCTATTCTAGGGACTGAAATGAGCCATCTGTGTGCTAAATCTGAACATTAACTCTTCATTTCTCTTTCATTTCCTCTGTAACAAATCTAATTTCTCTTGTGGCTTCATCTGACAGAATGAATACCTGGAAAAGAAGAAAAGCGCATGAACATTTTTTTATTGATGTATTTTTCTTGTTTTGAATATGAGCAAGAGGATTTTAAGGGCAAACAGAGTGCCAGGAATTCCCTACAAAGTTTCCATCAGGAATTTAATTCTTTGAAGGAAAAAGAGCACTGATGGAAGGAGAATCCTTACTGAAAAAAATTCAGTGGCACATATTGAAAAAAAATAATAAGCATGTAAGGGAGCATATTGGCTATGGCTGTTTGATACCTTGGCCCAAAGCAAGAGGACAAGATATTTATATTTCATTCATCTTCATTTGCTTTAAATTGAGGTCCAATTTACAATATGTAAAATTAATTATTAATTATTTTAACACATAAAATTAAGTGTCATTTGGTTCATTCACAAGATTGTGGAGCGTCTATCTGCTTCCAAGACAGTCTCATCACCCCAAAACGTTTTGAAAGTGGGCAAACTCCTACTCTTAAGGATTGTTGTTTGCAGGCCAGGCACAATGCCTCACACCTGCAATCCCAGCAGTGTGAATGGCTGAAGCAGGAGGACGCTTGAGCCCAGGAGTCTGAGACCAGCCTGGGCGACATAACAAGACCCCATCTCAAAAAGAAGAAGAAAAAAAAACTATAAAAAGGATTCCTGTTTGCTAATGGGATCGCACTTTTTGGTTCTGATTATGACAGTGGCATAATTGAAGTCGCTTTTTATCTGACCAATGTTAGCAGCGAAGAGCACAGTGTACTCGCCACTCTCCTCATTCACTCTTCAGGCCGCATAGTCTCACATTCCTTTGGGAAAGTTGTTCTCATTACCGCCATCTTGACACTGTCTGTTCTGTGCAAGCAAAACTGTAAATGTCTTTAGAGTAATTTGTAATCTAGAAAATAAAATGAATTATTGGTCTTCCAGCTTTGTCTACTGTTTATTGAGTTTATTTTAATACCTCTTCTCTGCTTCCATTATACCTCTGCTTGAACCTTAAGGCTCCTACGTATTAGGTCACCAATTTTATACATATACTATGTATTAGGTCACCACTTTTGTACACTTTTATATACAGCATTTAGTCTCATGCTTTGTATACTAAAGAGAACAGTACACATAAATACGATAAATGAATAAATATATATTCTGAAATGTCCCTATTGTAAAAAAAAATAGAACGTGGTGCTTATGAAGATAATTATTAAAACTGTTATATTATTATGTTGCAAAAATGACAAGATAATACTTTTGCTTACAATTATCAATCAAGTACCATTTACATCAATGAAAATTCAAATAGCGTTTACTTATTTTTTTTTTTTTCTGAAACAGGGTCTCCCTGTGTTGCCCAGGCTGGGTTGCCGTGACATGGTTCACTATAACCTCGAACTCTTGGGCTCAAGTGATCCTCCCACCTCAGCCTCTCAAGTTGCTAGGACTACAGGTGTGTACCACCATGTCTGGCTAATTTTTTATTTTTATATTTTGTTGAGACAGGGGTCTCACTATGTTGCCACAGCTGGTCTCAAACTCCCAACCCCTGGTGATCCCACTTTGGCCTCCCAAAGTACTGAGATTACATGTCTGAACCATGGCACCAAGCTTATTTACATTATTTTTTATTTATCTTATTGTTAACAGAGTTTCTACCTTTATACCCTAACTTTATTCCCACTATCTGACATTTAATATTCAAATTGACATTTAATAAGGATTTTATTGATTAACAGTTTAAAATTGTCAGTTTTATAGACATACTGCCATTTAAAATATGTAGATATTTGCTATGAATTCTTCTATTTCAAAGTTCACAGAACAGAAAGACAATATTAAAAATAACAAGTATATTATTTATGAACAATTTATTTGAAAATGATGCTACAGAAAATGACATGAATTGCAAACTAAATACAAGTATATCTTAGAGATATTATGGGTTTGGTTCCAGACCACTGCAATAAAGCACCTTTTTTGGTTTTCCAGTGCATCTAAAGGTTATGTTTATACTATCGTCTATTAAGTGTGAAATAATATGTCTAAAAACCAATGTATACACCTTAATTTAAAAATAGGTTCTTGCTGGAAAATGCTGACACAGAGACATAAAGTGCACACAGGCTTTTGGAAAGTGGCGTCAATAGACTTGCTCAGAGCGGGGTTGCCACAAACTCTGAACTTTTAAAAAACACAATGTCTGTGAAATGAAATAAAGTAAAACACAAGAATACTAGGTATTCCTGAAATTTCAATCTGTCGGCTTCAAAATAAGGATAATTAATACAGTCATAAGTTGATAAAAAGGCACAAAAGTGAATTGCTTAAGGGATAACACAAATTCCATTTGAAATAAATTATTAATGTATCAAAGTATTACATAAAAGATAAATTGTAGTCATTTGGTGTTCAAAAAATAGCTTGAAGAAATAAATGTTGTTTATGAAGAGCAGTAAATAGAAAAATTATGAAAGTTAGAAAATTGAAAAAGGTATAGTGATAAAAAAATTACTTATTTCTAGAGAAATGGAATGTTTTATGACTAGTGATTGCTGAGTTTAAAAAATGTATTCCTATAAATTAAAATCACTGAATTGTGAAGTTGTGAATTAACACAGGATGTACAAATAACTTTAGGAAATAAGAGCTGAATCTTTTAAAAATTACTCTTAAAAATATTCATAAATATATACAGATTTTTAAGTTCCTAAGTAACGCATGAACACTGTAATGTAAAACTATCAACCACACCCTCCAGTTTAGCAAAAAAAGCACATGCTTTAGACACCCGCAGTCAGTTATGAATCCTGAGAATAACAGAAAAGATAAAGAATTTAGGCTATAAATAAAAGTAAATAATTAGAAAACAGCTCTGGAAAGTATGAAGGGCAGATAAATTAACTCACTAAATGGTAGAAAGCAGGTGTCATTATACTGAACACTAAAAGCAGATTCCAAAACATTCTTAAAATAATATTTCTACTAAAACAGAGGGCTGCATCCATCCATACCTAGAGACGTTGCATAAGTGACAAGTGACGGATCATAACAGCAGGGCCTCTCCACAGATCAAATGCCACCCCAGAAACATGTTCAGACACGCAGGATCAGACATACGCACACACATTGAGCCAGAAGAAGGTCACAGAACTGTGGGCTTAATGTCAGAAGATGTCACTCCACAATTTGTGGGAGAGGGTCGTGCTGTTTGTGGCTGGAACCATCCATGAGAAAGGGAGACTACCCGTGCCATAATGAAAAGCAGCCTAAGTACCAACCCCAGAGCACACGTCAGCCTTCACTCACTGCATGGATGCTGCGATGCATCACCTAGTTATACTTCCAGCAATGAAAGGCTTTCTATTCCAGCTTCTGGGAGCAACCCTCCCTGGTAATCCATCGGAAATTCTTGAGCTGAGAATAGCCACCTTGACCAGGGGCATGTCCCCTTCCCAGTAAAGCCAAAATCTGATGGCTAATTGATGAATCGTATCAAGGCCTGTTGCTCACACACAGAAACTATTTTAAATGCTTTAACATCTTTATTTTTCTCAAATTCATGTACTACTTAACTATTTTCCATTGTACATTACTCTAGATAAAATTCAAAGCATGTTCTGACAGAGGATAGTCATTTTACTGATCATTATAGAAAGAGCTTAAAGCTGTGATTGACAAACTGAAGAATAAGATGCATCATGAGTCTCAGGCTCTTCAGTTATAATAAGTGTGAAAAAATAATCTTGTGACCAACAGACTTAAACAATCAAAATTATCTTCCTCTAAATTGTTCATTCACGTAAAGAGCAGAGATGTTTAGAAACAGGAATTTCATACAACTTTCATTTTAAAATCTTATTCCCTATGAGGTATCAAGCAGGAATTTTTTTATACAAACATGTTAATATTTATCTTGTAAAGTATTTCATGCTATGAGCAAGAAAATGTGTATTTTTTCTTTTTGTTTTCAAACAACTAAGTATCAAAGATGTGCTACACTTTTAATTTATAAATGTATTCTGAATTCATGTCATGCATTTATGATTGAATCCAAACACCCCTTGTATTTGAATAGAGAAAGTTTAAAATAAAAGTTATTAAAAGGTGATTAGAATAATTGGGAATTGCTTACATGGAGGAAAAGAGAGAACTCTAAAGGCTACTCTAGGTTTGAACACAGGCATCCAAGGAAGGAACACATTTTGAAGAGGAGAATCCTCAGGTGGAATGGGGATCAGATCAGATCTATCAGATCTCTTTGGAGAGAGTCATTGAAGTCCACAGAATGGTGAAGTTTTCCACCGTTTTTGATCAGAGATGCAGCTGGTAGGTGTAAAATTACCTGCCGGTACCCTAATAAAATTTTGCAGGCAAGCTACCTGTGTGGGTTGCTGTAGACTTGCTGGAAAGTCCACTGAAAGCACTGGCTAAATTCACTAGAAAGCTTCTGGGAATCCTGAGCACTGGCGGTGAGGGCTTGTTGTCCACAGACTTGGAAGGTGCAGGTTACCTCTGGCCATCATCCAGGTGGGGAGGGGTGAGCTGAGAGAAGATGGGGAATTGCTGTTTGTTGTTGTCCACCAAGACACTGCTAAATCACACATAAAGAATAGACTAGAAGCACAGCTAAAACAGCACATCTATAGGAACCAGATGTATTAGTCCATTCTCATGCCTCTGTGGAGAAATACCTGTGACTGGGTAATTTTATATATATATGAGGTGTAATTGACTCACAGTTTCATATTGCTGGGGAGGCTTCAGGAAACTACAATCATGGCAGAAGGCAAAGGAAAAGCAAACACCTTCTTCATAGGGAGGCAGGATGGAGTGAGTCCAAGCAGGGGAAATACCAGATGCTTATAAAACTATCAGATCTCGTGAGACTTGCTCATTATCAGGAAAACAGCCTGGGGGAAACTGCCCCCATGATCAAATTACCTCCACCTGGTCCCCCCAACCGACACGTGCGGATTATGGTAATTACAATTCAAGGTGAGATTTGGGTAGGGACACAGACCCAAACCATATCACCAGGAAAATAAAATCCTTTAGCATTCATGACTGTCAATGCTTAACATTGTGCTGGCTGGTAAAATTATATATATATATATATATATATATATATTTACAAGGTGCAGGTACATTGTAACCAAGCAGAGTGTCCATCAGTTAATAACTAATACAGCCCCTTTTGCTATTCAATTACTCAGCTTCTATATGTACCAGTCTATACATATTTAAACTTCTCTACATTAACAAACAAGTCTAGGCTTCTGCCTAAAAAGCTATAGCCACTCTATTAGTCCATTCTCACATGACTATAAAAGTACTACCTTAGACTGGATAATTTATAAAGGAAAGATGTTTAATTGACTTACAGTTCCACATGGCTGGGGAAGCCTCAGGAAACTTACAATCATCGCAGAAGGTGAACAGAATGCAAGCAACCACTTCACAAGGTAGCAGGAGAGACGAGAAGGAGGAACTTCTAAACACTTACAAAACCATCATATCTTGTGAGAACTGACTCACTATCATGAGAACAGCATGAAGGAAACCACCCCCATGCTCAAATCACCTCCCTCCCTCTACACATGGGGATGACAGGTCCCTCCCTTGACACGTGGGAATTACAATTCATGATGAGATTTGGGTGAGGACACAGAGCCAAATCATATCAGCCATCCTCACTGTTTTCTCACAATAAAAAGATACACTGTCTTAGTAGGCATTGTAGTTATTGCTGTGGCTACTTGCTGTGGTGCCCCAAATTCTGTTACAGTGCTAACCCATTTCACCTAAATTCTAAATTGAGAGTCACCCTTTAATGACTTTTCTATTACTTTTTAAATGGAAAGAAGTGAGAGAAGAAAAATGATTACTGTATGCAAATAAACACATCAATATGGAAATCAAAGAATATGAACAGCTAGTATAGTCTCTATTTCTTTAATTGAAAAATATAGTATCTATGGCTTTTTTTTTTTTTTTGAGATGGAGTTTCACTCTTGTCCAGGCTGGAGTGCAATGGCATGATCGCAGCTTGCCGCAAACTCTGCCTCCTGGGTTCAAGCGATTCTCCTGCCTCAGCCTCCCAAGTAGCTGGGATTAGAGACATGTACCACCATGCCTGGCTAATGTTGTATTTTTAGTGGAGACAGGGTTTCTCCATGTTGTTCAGGCTGGTTTCGAACTCCCGACCTCAGGTGATCCACCTGCCTTGGCCTCTCAGTGTTGGGATTACAGGCATGAGCCACCACGCCCGGCTATGACTTCTTTTTCAACTATCTGTTAGGTATTTCCCTTACATTTCTCAAAAGCATCAACTGACTGAGATTCTTTATCCAACAGGGTAACTCAAACCTGAATTCTAGACTAGTTTGAGTCTTCATATCTTGCTTGTTTGATGGCAAAAGTCTTCATATCTTGCTTGTTTGTTGCAATTTTCCTTTTACCTTTATTACTTGGAATGGAAAAATTAAGTCACCAGAAGAATACGCTGGGTTCCTATCATCGTGCTGTTTACGTGTTGTTCCCCTTAGTAATCAAAATCAATCACTCCAGCAAGTAGAGTGTTCTGTCTGTTGATTTAGTGGCATAAAGAGCCGGAAATGGCTATGTCTCTTCTTCAAGTTCAATAAAAGTCTTATTGTGTCCTGTAAGAATTCTCTCTTTGGCAACCAAGACATTCAAACCAGCAAAAGAAAAGCGCAAAGTGGCCAGAACAGAAAGAAAAAAAAAATCTACAAACTGGTTATTAGGTGTAATCTTGAGAAAGGTCACTTCTAATATTTCTCCTTGATTTCCAGAATTTTGTATTCTATGGGGGAGATAGTACTATACAGAAGCCTCTGTAAGACCAATTCTGTATTTTAAGAAGTTATCTCACATTTGTACCATAACCTAGTCTTCCTATGATACTGTTTTAGCTAGTGAGCCTCAATGACATGTTTGAGTCACGGTTTTCAATGTTAATTCCGAGCTAGTGTGTAGTTACCCCAGAATGTTTAGAGGGAGTATTTTCTTTTCTTTTCTTTCCTTTTTTTTTTTTTTTTTTTTTTTTTTTTTTGAGACAGAGTCTTTCTCTGTCGCCCAGGCTAGAGTGCAGTGGCATGATCTCGGCTCACTGCAACCTCCACCTCCCGGGTTCAAGCCATTCTCTTGTCTCAGCCTCCCAAGCAGCTGGGACTACAGGCACCTGCCGCCATGCCCAGCTAATTTTTGTATTTTTAGTAGAGGTGGGGTTTCACCATATTACCCAGTCTCGTCTTGAACTCCTGACCTTGTGATCTGCCCACCTCGGCCTCCCAAGATGGTGGGATTACAGGCATGAGCCACCACACCCGGGCCCGAGTATTCGTTTTTCTCCAATGGACTGCCATTCTAGCAATATTCATAGGTCCCTTTGGAGAAAACTTAGAGTAAGATTTAGAGTGTGAAATTACGGCAAAAGTGCAAAACCCAACCTTGCTTCCAATCAAGAGTCTTTGATTCTGTGAATTGACTCAGGTGTGAAACCTGGTAAAGAATCTGCAAATCTCTACTGTGGCGCCTCAAATCAAGTTTTTTGGCTAATAGAACTTAAGTTGTTGTTTGCTTATACGTATATATAGTGTTCTGCCATATATGTCTAACATTACTGTAGTTGACTGTGCATCTATTTTATTTCCAGGGACACTATGTTCAAGCATAACTGTGGGGCAAGGCATGCTGAGTATCAGCGCACCTCTGTTGCCCTTTACAGTTCCTCTGCCCATCTGTGTTGGTGATTTAGTGTTGTCACTTCTATTCTAGGATTTCTCTTAATCTCCACTGAAACTGGGGAGCCCATCTCAATGGTGGCATAGGAGATTTGTAAGTCTTGCATACAAACGAGAGCAACCACAAAGATTTTTATGGATTCAGAAGCTCTTCTCACTCATGTATTTATCAATCAATTTTGTTATGTATGCTATTTTCTCTTGGTTCAACTCATGTACACTTTGAGCATGCTAATTCTATCATAGTGTTGGATCTAGCAGAAACAGAACAAGCTTATGGTGGGTCTTAATGGAAATTGCTATCCTCTTTCAATACATCTGCCCCAGTTGAGGTTATCACAGGGCTTCCAAGCAAAGGAAACCTAATCACTTCAGACACTAAAAGACTTCTGGACTTCCACTGATAAGTGAGTCTCAGAGGGACTTGGAAGTTCATAGTGCCAGTTTTATCTGAGTCACACCAGTTGTCTCCAACAACTTTCAGGATCCGATTCCTTGCCATGCAATACCCTTAACTTCACAGGAGAAACTCTGTGAGACTGTAAATTCAACTGTACTTTTAATTCTATAATACACATAATCAATCTTTGTATTTGATTTTCAGCAATAGTAGCTGTGGCTACTATCATTAAAATGTATTAAAAAATACAATATAGCTGTTGCTATAAGAAATACTGGATTATTTTAGGGATGTCATGAAAGATCTTCAGCTATTGCACTGTGACTTAATTAATCTGACAATTAATTTATCTGAACTTGCCAGTGTTTCCCTGTAAGCAGTCAAGTGTACTAAAAAGAGCCCACTCCAAATGCAGCCTTATAGTCATCCTGATTGCCGTAAAGGTAAAATGTAATAGCCCTTTGGACTCCCAAGACATATACTTCAGTTGCCACTTTATCACAAACAACACACATGAAAACTTGATTGTTTGTGATATAATATATTGCCAGCATTCTATTTCCTATTGGTAAGGAGGTCAGCACTGCCCTCAAGCCAAATTTTATGACAAAACAAGTCCCAAAATCTCATATCTGTGGGCCAGTCTCTAGGATCCATGTCTGTAATCAATTCTGTAGTAGTCGAAGTGCAATAAATATAAAGTAACATAATTCAATGAGAAATGTTAATATAAACAATTATTAGCAAGAAATTAACATAACAAGAAATTGTCAAAACAAAAATTATAAAGGAAGCCATAAAGATAAAGACTGTACCAAAAGAAAAAATAATCTGTGAAGAAAAAAATGCTCCCCAAGACTGGGATTTAGATTTCACTAGATAAGGTGTGGTTGAAGCCCCTTAAGATGGTGAAGAAGCTAGCTAACAGTCTCTAGCAAGAGCTGGTCCACAGTCTGCAAGGTAATATGATAAGCTCTGGAATGCTGGAAAATTAGCTACTAAGCTCCTTGTGGGGACTGCGGTTAACTTGTTTGAAATTCAGTAATGGAACTCATTTTCTTGCCAAAGAGTTGCCATGAAGACTCCCAAGAAGGGTGTTTTGAGGCTGATAGCTAAGTAGGAAGCAGGGATGTCCATGGAACTCAATAGCTGATTATAGAAGTTTAACTGAAATTACAATCCTAAATGTTACACAGGAGCACTAACTACCACCAGAAACTATGTGAAAGAGAGGTATGTGTTCTACACAAAGTTGTTCATAAGGAGTTGCCACTTGCTGCTGGCTGCAGGATTACTGTTGGAAAAAGCCACTTACCCTGCAAAGGCACGGCTAGATGAGCATACCAGAACAGGAGAGAAAAAAAAAATTGCTCTCCTGATGTCCTGTCAGTATTGTCTGTCAACAAGGATATTTTCTGGAAGGCCAAGAAGAAATATTAGAAAGTCCTGCTCCATTATCAAAGAACAGATAGAAAGATCAAATTTGGAGCTGAAAAAAAAGCAATGATAACTGGTACCACATATTCTAAACAAAGATCACTTTTGCTACTGTAAAGATGATTAGTATATTGAAATTACTTTATAGAATCATTTCCAAGTTATCCTACAATCTCAGAAAATATGACTCAAAATAATGCTTTCAATTATGTCACTTTCTTCAGCCAGTGATTCTTAAAAATTATTTCTGTACATATGGAAATCTCTTAAAAATAATGATTGGGTTATCAAAGTTGATTTGATTTGGCATATCTGTATAGCTTCATAAATAAAATATTCAAAATTTATAGTAGATTATTCTAACTAAATGCAAATTATTTGTCCAATTTGACTTTTTTCAACTGTGTAGATAATATGACAAAAAATCATATAGTTAAAATACTCAAAATTATTATAGTCAATATTAGGAGGAGGTCACAGCAAAAAATGATAAATAGAGATAACAAAATTAGGTCTAAATAATGTGAATTCAAATACATGTACTTGAAAATTACATTTGAAACTTAGCAACTCATAATATAGAGATTTTATTGACCAGGAAGGTTTTTCAGTATAACTTCAGTTATACAAAATTAACACCTGGTTTATGTCACTAAAGCCATCTGTATATGCTGGCAATTGGAGACCACGAATGGTTCAATAACTGGGGCAGCTAAAGAAAGATACTATGTCTGTAATCGATTCTGTAGTAGTAAGACTCCTGGTCACTGAAAAACACTTGCCCTACACACATACTGAGAAACAACATTTTTGACAGCCTAAAATCAATGGAAATGTATCCCTGAAGTCAATGTTTCATGTCAGTGGGGGGAAGCCTGATTGTCATAAATTTTGTATTCAAGAATTGCATTTATAATTTCTTTTTTTCCTTCTATCTTTCTAATTTATACCTGATTTATGGTCAATTTCATACAAATGTTAACCTTCATGTGTATGCATAAGAAAAAGGAGAATGTGTGGCACAAGTAGACATACGTTAAAATCTTCTCTTATTGGTAACTTTTATTGTGTCTATCTCTTCATCTTGCTTAAGGTTTTGTCATTAAATAAACTGCTGTATATGGTATAATACTTCGTGGGAAAAAATTACCATACCTATTTTTTAATAATGAAGGAAAAAGGCTGACTTTCTGAATGACAAAAAAGGGCTGTGGTAAATGAATTCACCCACAAAATAAATGGAAATATGGACAAAACAACTAGTTTTAACCATCTGAGAAGTCTGGAAATTGAGCAAATTCACAGAATGAACTGAAAGAAAATAATATATCCAGTGGAAATATCTTAACCTTAGTAAGAAAAAGAAGCCTGTGATGTTTTGATTCAGGGCTATTCCCACCTTCTCTCTCTCCTGAGTTCCCTGTTGAGTAGTCCAGAAGTCTTCAGCCTTACAATCAACAGAGAAGATTGACCTATTTTGAAGCCATTGTGAAGTTACTACCTTCAAGGCACAATCAATATTTTGCCCAGACTTTCAGCTCCCGGAAATACATTATCATGGTGTGTTGAGCATTTGATTTGACTTAGTGTTCAGCTTAGGAAAACAAACAAAAGTCTACCCACAGAGAATTAACAAAAGGGATAGAAATCTAATGGCAACAATTTAGCTATCTAAGAACTGACTTTAATTGAGGTAAACAAGACTCGGAACAAATACAATATTTAAATTAATATGCTAGAGAAGTGGTTAATCATAAAGAACTTTGAAAAACTATATATTCTTGGAGATCTAAAAATCTGTTTGAGTGGAGAATGCCATATACATTTCCAGGAAAGACTTGAATAAAAGAGAAAGTCTCTGCAATTCCATTCTGGGTGACTTCAAGACCAGTAGAAGCAGATAATAATAATAATAACAATAATAATGAAATTTAAAGTTGTTGAAAACTTCCTAAATTTTGAAGTTCTGCCTTCTCACAGATATCCTGTAAAGAATACAGTCAAGGCAATTAAGGAAAACTTCTGACAAATTATTGCCAGATCAGTAAAGAATACTGAGCCAGGAATGATCCCTATAACACTGGACATAAAAATACAAAAACAAAACAAAGCAAAACAAAAGAATCCAATCCCTCTATGTCACACACAGACAAGGTGCCAAAGACCTCAGTGTCTGAGTATTGCAGAGAATGGAGGATCTACACAATTGGTCCAGGAAAATTGCTAATAATTATTTAAGAATGAGAGAAATAACAATAACAGTAAAAACCAGCAACAATAACAAATCATAGGCAGATTGAACCTGATACTAAAGCTGTTCCAATATATTGTCTAAAATAAATAGCTTTTGACCAAAACTACTATATTAACAAAGACATAGAAAAATATGCTGTATACAAGGGAGAGGGGAGGAGCAATCAATGAAAATATCCCTGAGGGAGCATGAATTTTGGTTTTAATAAATAAAACTACTAAATATATATTATAAGAAATAAAAGAACCCATGGGTAAATTATTAAATACATATGACAATATGTCTCATAAATAAGAAATATTATTAAGGAGGTAAAAAGCAAACATAAATCCTGGAGTTGAAAATTAAAGAAACAAGTACAAAGTTTAGTAAATGCGAAGAACAGATTTGACCTGGAAAAAAAGAGAATCAGTGAACCTGAGGATACCATACAGCTTGTAGAGTCTGAGAAAGAAAAAAGAAATTAAAAAATTGACACAATCTCACTAAACATATAGGACACTATCAAACAGTCAACATATGCATGATAGGAGTTCCAGCAGGTAAAACAAAGAGGACATGGCAGGAAATACATATATATTTGATGTAATGATGGCCAAAATTTTCCACATAATAACGTTAATCCACATGCACTAGTCTTTTCTCATGCTGTTAATAAAGTCATACCTGAGACTGGGTAATTTATAAAGGAAAGAGGTTTAATTGACTCACAGTTCAGTATAGCTGGGGAGGCCTCAGGAAACTTACAATCATGGTAGAAAGGGAAGCAAACATGTCCTTCTTCACGTGGCAGAAACAAAAAGAAATGCTGAGCAAAAGGGTGAAAGTGCCTTATAAAACCATCAGATCTCATGAGAACTCACTCACTATCACAAGAACAGCAGCACTGGGGTAAATGCCCACCCCGATTCAATTACCTTCCAGTGAGTCTCTACTATGACATGTGGGGATGATGGAAACTACAATTCAAGATGAGATTTGGGTGGGGACACAGCCAAACCACATCACCACTTATCAAAGAAGTTCAATAGATTCAATTAAAATAGACACAAGAAAATTTACCTTGGATCCACTATAGTCAAATTTTTAAAAAGTCAGTGACAAACTACCTTGAAAATGGCAAGAGAATATTGACTTACCACATAGAAATGGTACTAATTAAGATTAACAGGTAAGTTTATGTCATAAATCATGGAGGCCAGAGATGGTGGTTAAAATAATGTTTAGAAGTGCTGAAGGAAAGGATATCAACCAAAAATAGCGTATTCAGCAAAAATAAACAGAAAAATCAGACATTCTCAGAGAAACAAAATCAAGCAGAAGCTGACACTAACAGATTTTTCCTATTAAAATACTAAAGTGATTCCAGAATGTTAGTAAAAAAGGACAACAAACAGTAACCTAAATCCATATTGGAAGGAAAGTCTTTCAGTAAAACTAGCTATATAAGACTAAATTTGTAAAATAGGCTATCATCATATTTTCATTTGTAACTTTTTATTTATCTGTTTTAAATAATAACTGCATAAAGCAATTATTATAAAACAGTATTGATGGATTTATATTCCATGATAATGTAATTTGCATAGAAGTAAGCAGATAAAAAGGAAAGGATGGTGCTATATGAAATAAAAGCACATAACAACTGTGTTGTAAACTACTTAGTCCCTAGTTCAGCTAGGCCTGCATTCTTGTCTGAGGACCAAGAAGAATAAGGCAGGCAGACACCAGAGTGTGAGTAGGGTAGGATTTATTAAGCAAAAGGAAAGCTATCACCAAAGAGAAGGGACCAGAAAACAGGTTGCCAGAAATAGGACTGAGTTCTGGGTATTTTATGTGGCAAGACCAAGGAAGTCCTCTGTGGGTTCTGCGCAAAACAGGTGGGGAAATACCAGACGCTTATAAAACCATCAGATCTCATGAGAACTCACTCACTACCATGAGAACAGCATGGGGGAACCATTCCCATGATTCAGTTACCTCCCGCTGGGTCCCTCCCATGACAAGTGAGGATTATGGGAACTACAATTCAAGATGAGATTTGGGTGAGGATACAAAGCCTAACCGTATCATCCACCCTGGCCCCTAACCAAATCTCATGTCCTCACATTTCAAAACACAATAATGCCTTCCCAACAGTCCCCCAAAATCTTAACTCATTCCAGCATTACTCAAAAGTCCAAGTCCAAAGTCTCCTCTGAGACAAAGCAAGTCCCTTCCACTTAAGAGTCTTAAAGTTCCAAAATGATCTCCTTTGACTCCATGTTTTATATCCAGATAATGCTAATGCAAAAGGTGGGCTACCATGATCTTGGGCAGCTCTACCCCTGTGGCCTTGCAGGGTACAGCCTCCGTCCCTGCTGCTTTTACAGGCTGGCATTGAATACAGCTTTTCCAAGTGCACGTTGCAAGCTATCAGTGGATCTACCATTCTGCGATCTAGAGGACGGTGGCCCTCTTCTCACGGCTCCACTAGGCAGTGCCCCAGTGGGAATTCTCCGTGGGGGCTCCAACCCCACATTTCCCTTCTGCATGGCCCTAGCTGAGTTTCTTCATGGGGGCCCTGCCCTTACAGCAAACATCTGCCTAAATGATCCCAAGAAGTGCCAGCCCACGCTCTGGCCTTTTGTAAGTCAGAGTGCTTTGTTAAAGTGGCATCAATTGAATCTGTCCACGTATATTGAAGGTAGGCATTAACTGTCCAAACTTCCTTGTTCTGACACATTTCAAAACCTCTAATTCCATTATACATTTGATAAGCAAAAGCTTGGGAAGAATAACAATTGTAAGTAAAGGTCCCTGCTGCTTGACATATGGTGTTCCATGTTGTTTGTCTTCAGGTGGAAACACGGAGTATTGAGGAGTACTGAGGAAATCCTTTCTTATAGAGGTGTAGGCCCCCTATCTTTGTACCAAACCCATCATCTAAATGTTTGGATTTCTGGGACTATTGTTGCATTTTCATGAAAGAGTTGGAAACATTTAGGAAAATGAGGGGTTTCTGTTAATTGCATCTGGCTTATGAAACTATTTCTTGTAAATGTGCCAGAAGTACAAAGTGTACTCTCAAAGGTAAATGTTGTAATAGTAAAGTTTAGTTCTTTACTACATGTATAATTTGCGTTGTTCTGGAGGGAGTGTATATATATTGTTTGAGGGAGGTCCGCATTCCCAGTGGAGGGCTCCTTATAGATAGTATAAATGGAAGGGCTGAAACAAAAGGACTGAAGAAGCACTGTGGCTACCCTGGAGTTTTTGGTGCCTTCATGTAAGGGTGGTAGAGCTGACAAATTGGTTATGGGTTTAAATTTGTATAAGTATTGTGTGGACATTTCAGGAGATTCATGGCATATCCAACAATTACTGATTCTGAGCTTTTGCTCTAGCCAGAGATAGCTGGAATAGGTAATTTCCATTTCCTACCTTGCAATATTATTTAAAAAGCCAATATAAAAAAGCAATTCATAATATAAGCAGAGGTAAAAATTACTTACCTAAGAAGTTTACATATGCTTAGAACAAATACAAGTGCTATATAAGAACAGCTAGGAAGGGAAAAATACAGGAATAAGAGGTAAAATAGGCTAATCACTTTGAAAGAAATGTGGCTAGAGCTGTTTCACTCTTGTGAAAATCACTAAATTCTAGAAGAGACATAACTACTTAGAAAAGTAGATAATCCCATGGGCGTTCCAGGTGAAGGGGTCCTTGACAAAGTTGTTTTATGATAAGGAGCAAAACAAAAGCAAGAGCAGTAAAAATAGGCAACATTATGAGAAGAATATCAAAGAGCGTCTTATCTATGGGGAGGTACAACCCTAATTTTTAAATGGATGTTGGGAGGTCTGATTCCAAATGCAATTGACCTCTCCCAAAGGATCAATAAGATTAGAAACCAGCAAAAATATGAAAATGGCTGCTATAGTCTATAGTAACTATGTAACAAAGTTACCAAAGGAAGCTGGTAGGCATTTACTTATCTTGTGGCTGTCTTTTAAACAGGAATTTCAGGTCTTCCACAGGTTTACTGTTGCAGTGGCTGATGAGAGCCTCAAGTTCCAGGTCCAGAGCTTTAGGTATTGTAGGCTTGAGCCTGGAAAGATGTATCTAAATATCTTATTTCCTGGTCTGTTTTTAGGCTGTTGGCTAGTTCTTGGTGTGCAGAGCCTTGAGTTTCAAACCTCTGGATCAGCGTCAGTCTCTACCAGAGGGAGGCAGAGGTTCTGTCCTGGAACCATGGTTTCCATATAAGCTAGAGTACTTCCGTCTAGCAGAGGACCTGAGCGTTTATGTATGACTAAAAGGCATGAGTTAAACAAGAGGTTTTCCTAGTTATAGCTGAGGGGAAAATATTGAGTAAAAGACTTTCCTGAGATGTTCCTCATGGTGGTGCTAAAAGGAGGAGGGGAGGCCTGGATTGCAGAGGAGAAAAAAAATGCTGACTCCAGTATCCAGAAAAATGTTCAACTTCCTCCCTTCAACCTCTAGAATTACCAGGGGCTCCTGAATGGTAATGAGAGTCTGAGCTATGGGAGCTGGGGAGTCGAGCCCCAGGACCCCTCAGTCCTGCTGGGCCGTTTCTAAGACTGGTTCTGCACCCGGTGACCTACAACTCCAGGAACAGTCTTCCTTCCAGTGGTCTCCATCACAGGCTGGACAGGGTCGGGGTAGCTTCCTCTTGCTACCTGGGCAATCCTCAAAGTGCCCTGATTTGCCGCACTTGTGTCAGTTAACAGGTGCCCCTCAGGAATCCTGGGTTTTACAGGCCTGAAGAATTGCCAATAGACCCTCTGCTTCTTTCTTATGCTTTCTCTCTTTCTCTTGAGCCTCCTCCAGATCTTTATTGTAAAAACCAAGGTGGCCATCTCCGGGAGGTTTCCTAAAGTGCTATCTGGTTATATGGCTTGCTTTTGCAGCTTCCTCCTGATATCAGGAGCTGCCTGAGTAATAAACTTATTCTTCAGAATTAGTTGTTTCTCAACTGAATCAGGAGATAGCGAGGTACACCTCACCAAGGCCTCTTCTTATCCTTTCTAGAAAGGCAAAGGTATTCTCATCTGGTCCTAATTCTAGTTCTTTGTAGGCCTTCCAATTTGTGCATCTCCTATGTTATCACTGGGGTCCCATTTAGGTCCTCAAGTGGTACTGCTGTCTTTCCAATTGGATAAGGCTCTTCCCACTCTGTGGCACTATGAGATACAAAGCTCATCTCCGAATTTCTTTGCTGTTTGCTGGGCTGCCTATTTCTCAGTAGTGGTCAGGGTTTGATTTAAGAGTAACCTATTATCCTTCCAGGAGAGCTCAAATACTTCTGTTAAATTCTGGAAGGCCTCTATACATGAATGAAGTTGGGGCTTTCTCAGAGAAAATTTTAGAATCTGAGGGTTAAAGGAGTCCCAGTGATCCAGGCTGCACTTGACGTGATTCCAGGCTGAAGATAGGTTGTTATTCATCTGTAAAGAGAGAGGAGAGAAAAGGTGTCCCTTAGTCTCCCTCCCACTTTTGGGGTGACCTGAGATGGAGGGAGAGAGACAGAGAGAGAGAGAGAAAAGATGTCCCCTGTCTCCTCTTTCCCTCTCAGTATTCTCTGGATCCCGGAGCCTTTCATAGGTGCCATCCATGGATGCAAGTGTGACTTCAAATCACAGACCAGGAGGGTTGACAAGTAGGAACAGTCATACTTACCTATGGTGTGTCCCCGCCCTCTGGTGTCAATGATCTTTGGGGTCCCTCAGATCTATTTCTTCTTTTGATTTTCCAAACTGGAGCTTGGAAAATACATTCAAGTAATCTAATTTGGGCAAGGAACTCTAATGGAGGTGTTGGCCTTAAATCTTTTAGAGCATTCCTTGACTGATAGGTAATGAACAGAGCCAGATCACAGAATTCGAGGAAATGGGAGTGATTAACCTCCAAACACAGCCCCGTCTTCCCATCCAGGAGTCCTTATACTCAGAGGCAGAACAGGTATCTTAGAAAATGAAGGAGTTGGTTTGGCTCATTTCCTGCAATTGTAGTGAGGAATTAGGGCTCCCCTGGACATAGGGCTGATAAGGCTCCCCACAAAAACAAATCCTTATCTCTTCGGGCACTTTGATAAGGTTTGCAATGTTAGCCTGTAACTTCGTGTCCAAATCTTTTTCAGACAGAGATTCAAAAGAGAAATCTGGGGCTTTGAGGGGACCCCCAAAATAAGCCTCCTAAGAGGAGAAAAGTAATTTGCCTCATAGAAGGGCTATCCAAATTCGCTGGGCAGTGCTGAGCCCTCACAGGGAAAAAGAAACAGCTTAAATGGAGAGGATACTGACTTGGGGAGAAACCATCCCTGTGCAATGCCATTGGGTGCTATCATTAGGGGATAAAGAAGCCTTTGGATCTAGATTTTGAAATCCCCATCTCCAGAAAATTACAAAGACAACAATTATTTGAGTTGCATTTCTGGTTACTAATGCATTTGCTGACTATACCCAACAAAATTATATCTCAAGTTTGCAAAAACACCTGCAACACTGCATACAAAGAAGAAATAAGAGCCATGATAGCCACGAAAGAAAGAAAATGCGATAGAAGACCGGATATTCTCAGTAAACACTCTAACAGGCTGTTGGGTTCTGGGTCAATTCAAGGGCCTCTGGGTAACGCCAAGATGTAGGCTTAGCCAGATACCCTCATTTGCCCCAGGACCTCCTTCTGATCCCACAGCGATAACCAGACCTCTGTAAAGAGAAATTGGATTGGAACAGAGCCAATGTTCCCAACACCCAAGAGTGATGGGGTATTGACAATGTCCTCCCCATCAAGCCTGTTCTCTGAGTCTTAAGTCTGGCAGCCATGTCATTTGTTCTTAACTTGCCAACAGAAGCCCAGTGTTTTATTTGATCTGCAGAAAAAAAATAAAAAATAGAACAAAATAAATAAATAAACTGAGAATGAGAAGCCTCAGAAATGAAAGTAAAAAGTTAGAGGTCTGTTCCTACTCACCTTTCCTGATTCCAGACAAGCCCCCAAAATGTTGCAGTCTGCTTAATCTTTTGTTCAGCTAGGTTCAAGTTCTTCTTGTTCCATGACCAAGAAGAATAAGGCACATGGACACCGGAGAGTGAGTAGAATAGGATTTTTTAGAAAAGTAAAGCTCTCAGCAAAGAGAGGAGGCCTGAAAGCACGTTGCCCAAAATGGGGCTGAGTTCTGGGTATTTTCTGTGGCAAGAGCAAGAAAGTCCTCTCTGGGTTCTGCACAAAATGGGAGAGGTGAAATTCCCTCCTAAGGGTGTTGCAATATGCACATGCCTGGGGTTGACCAGATTGGCTCCATCTTGGTTATTACTCACAAGTGCCTTAGGGAAACTCAAGAGGGGGATAAAACGACAATGCTATTTTTTATGTTAGTGACATTATAATCAGCCAGGTCAAGTTAAGGACATTTAGGTTAATTTATTGTACCTGCACCTAAGTTGGGGCAGTCCCTTCTGAGCAGACATCCTGGCGTAAGAGGAAATTCTTGAACACATTTCTTTCCATTAGCTACGGGGGCTGTGCAGATGTGGTCCCATGGGTATTTTTCCACTTCCAAGATCCTCCCTCTCTATCTGCCTAACCAGCCTCTACCTCTGTCTCTCACTTGTAGCTGGTGTTATTCATAACTAGATTGTCTTAAGATGCTCATTTTAACACCCAGGGTAATCACTAAAAATAATAATAATGATAATGGTAACTCAAGAATATAGAAGTACCAACAAGATAATTCAAATGGTATGTAGAAAACATCTGTTTAACTCCAGAGAAGGCAGTATGAAGAAATAGAAAAATGAAAACCGAAACATAAGAC
The DNA here is from genome assembly GCF_000001405.40 of Homo sapiens. NCBI lineage: Eukaryota > Metazoa > Chordata > Mammalia > Primates > Hominidae > Homo > Homo sapiens. The sequence goes on from NC_000005.10 coordinate 25,611,432, forward strand.
ATATAAAAACTAAATAGAAAAAAGGCAAACATAAATCTTCTTTATTAGTAATAATATAGAAGATAAATTGATCAAGCCGTTCAATTAAACAGAAATTGGAAGGTTTGATTAAAAAATAAAATATGATCTATCAACACGCTGTCTAAAAGAGGCATATTTTACTCCAAAGACACAAATAATTTGAAAGTAAAAGAATGGGAAAAGGTATACCATGAAAACAGTAATCAAAAGAGAGCTGGGTGGCTATACTAACATTATGTAAAATAGACTGTAAGAAGAAAATTATTAATAAAGAGAAAGAAGGTCATGTAATAATAATGGAGCTCATTCATCAGGAAGTTATAGCAATTATAAACATCTATGCACTTTACAATAAAGCCCAAAAGGACCTGGTTGTGTTATAATGGTGGCATATACAAATCACCTTTAATATATAATTCAGTTATGAGGCAGAATCAGCTGTAGTATCATATGTAGTGTGATATATATATAAACCTTACTTTTTAATATTAATGTAGAATGAACTTAATTTGGACACTTCTGTATCAAAATAAATAAAAATGAAAGACATTTAGCAATATTAAAATAACCTTGTTACATTAATTGAATATTTAATTCACAATAATCCAGTTGAATGCTAAATGAAAGAGAGCACCGCAAAAGATCACTTTACAAACGATACTTCAAGAGATTTGAAATAAAATGGAACAAATTAATGCCAGAGTATAAATCAGATTACTGAATGAGACAAAAGTTATAGCATTAAAATAATGATATTATGCAGTCCTATCCAGAGATATGAAACTATGGTAGTTTTCTTAGTTCACATATCATCCAGTATATATAAGAGTTGCTGAGTAAAGAACTTTGCAATATGCAACTTTTTTATCCCATGACAAAATTTGCAAGTACAGCATTAGAAATCAAAAGGACAAACAAAGTGATAAAGTTCATTACAGTGGCAAAAGTCCATGTTTTCTCCCTTATAACTTAATGAGAAAAGAGACAAAATAGTCATGAAGTAAGGCAAACTTTAAGTTCAGTTTGCTCTGTTTAAATTCAAGCATCAACACTTATCAGAGATGTGATCTTGAACTATTAATGTATGATGTAGTCCAGTTTTCTTACCTGTAGAAATAAGAAAATCATACAACGTATCTCATAAGATGATTATAAAGGTTAATAAATGTGTTAATATATGCAAAATACTTAAACATGATTACTAATGGCCATTAATAATGACCAATTTTCTAATCAATATGGAGGAAACAGAGCAGAGTGCCCATACCCAGATATTTAGCTTTCCTTTCTGATTACTCTGCCTCTGAAATATTTATTTCCGTCTTGATTTACTACCAATAGGGCAATAGATGTACTTCTCAACACTGCTTAAATCAAAGAAATTATCATAATGAATACTTAAAAATACACTTTTTGGCATTGCTGAATGATATGCTCAGTCAGTCTTCTCTCTTGGTAACTGAAGCCACCCTTTAAACACAGGTATTGATTTTAAGAAAGTCCTTACGAAGTTCCTTCCACCTCTACCTACTATGAACTACCTTGCAATAATGCATTCTTTTTACTGAGAGTAACAACAAAAAAAAATGAAGAAAGAAGCAAATGCTGATGTCCTTGAAAGCATTAGAGAGCTATCAAGGCAGCTAGTGATTGAGAAATCAAGGTTCCAGATAAAAGGTGACCCAAGATTTTTTATATTTCTTCTTAAAACCTAAGCAATGCAGACTGAGAAGCACCTAAGATGAAACTAAATGCAATTTTAGTTGCACTCTCACACAGCTAGACAGAAAATAGAATTTAGAATAAACAAAATAAAGGCCTTGGGAACAGGAATATGTCTCAGAAAAATACAGGTGGCTCTGTTAAGGAAGACCCTTAAGAATAAGAGTAAACTGAAAATAGTTCAGACTTTAAGGAGGTTGAAACCTTGTTTTCACTCAGCTAAATTAAAGACTGGGCTAAAGTGACACGCTCCTACTCTAGTACCTGTCAGAACTTGAACAAAAATTCATTTTTTTTTTTTAAATAAATACGGAGTCTAGCTCCGTCGCCCAGGCTGGAGTGCAGTGGTGCGATCTGGGCTCACTGCAAGCTCCGTCTCCCAGGTTCATGCCATTCTCCTGCCTCAGCCTCCAGAGTAGCTGGGACTACAGGCACCCGCCACCACGCCCAGGATAATTTTTTTGTATTTTTAGTAGAGACGGGGTTTCACCATATTAGCAAGGATGGTCTCGCTCTCCTGACCTCGTAATCTGCCCGCCTCGGCCTCCCAAAGTGCTGGTGTGTCCGGAATTGGTGGGTTCTTGGTCTCACTGACCAGGAATGAAGCCACGGACCCTCGCAGTGAGTGTTACAGTTCTTATAGATGGTGTGTCTGGAGTCTCTTCCTTCTGATGTTGGGACATGTCGCTGACTTCAGGAGTGAAGCTGCAGACCTTCGCTGTGAGTGTTACAGCTCTTAAAGGCGGGCGTCTGGAGTTGTTCCTTCCTTCCGGTGGGTTTGTCATCCCGCTGGCTTCAGGAGTGAAGCTGCAGACCTTCTTGGTGAGTGTTACAGCTCATAAAGGCGGCATGGACCCAAAGAGTGAGCAGCAGCAAGATTTATTGCCAAGAGCAAAAGAATAAAGCTTCCACCGCACAGAAGGGGACCCAAGCGGGTTGCCACTACTGGCTCCGGAAGCCTGCTTTTTCCCTTTATCTGGCCCTACCCACATCCTGCTGATTGGTCCATTTTACAGAGAGCTGATTGGTCCGTTTTGACAGGGTGCTGATTGATGCGTTTACAAACCCTGAGCTAGACACAGAGTGCTGATTGGTGCATTTACAATCCTGTAGCTAGACATAAAGGTTCTCCAAGTCCCCACTAGATTAGCTAGACACAGAGCACTGATTGGTGCATTTACAAACCTTGAGCTAGACACAGGGTGCTGATTGGTGTGTTTACAAACCTTTAGCTAGACACAGAGTGCTGACTGGTGCACTTACAAACCTTTAGCTAGACACAAAAGTTCTCCAAGTCCCCACCCCATTCAGGAGCCCAGCTGGCTTCGCCTAGTGGATCCTGTGCCAGGGCTGCCGGCGGAGCTGCCCGCCAGTCCCATGACACGTGCACTCCTTAGCCCTTGGGCAATCAATGGGACCGGGCACCACGGAGCAGGGTGCAGCACCTGTCGGAGATGCTCAGGCCACAGGAGCCCACTGCAGGGGGGCTCAGGCACGGCGGGCTGCAGGTCCCAAGCCCTGCCCCACGGGGAGGCGGTTGAGGCCCAGCGAGAATTCAAGCACCGCACGGGCTGGCCAGCAGTGTCAGCGGACCCGGGGCACCCTCCGCAGCTGCTGGCCTGGGTGCTAAGCCCCTCACTGCCCAGGGCCAGTGGCGCTGGCCCGCGGCTCCAAGTGCGGGGCCTGCTGAGCCCGTGGCCACCTGGAACTCAGGCTGGCCTGCGAGCACCACGCGCAGCCCTGGCTCCCGCCTGCTCTTCTCCCTCCACACCTCCCAGCAAGCAGAGGGAGCCAGCTCCAGCCTCAGCCAGCCCAGAGAGGGGCTCCCACAGTGCAGCTGTGGGCTGAAGGGCTCCTCAAGTGCAGCCAGAGTGGACACCCAGGCCTGAGGAGGTGCTGAGAGTGAGCGAGGGCTGCTAGCACGTTGTCACCTCTCACTGGGATTACAGGCGTGAGCCACTGCACCTGGCCCATTCTTTTTTTTTTTTTTTTTATAACTTCCCATGTATTTACCTTTACTTAGATCTTTATTTCCTCATATGGCTTCTAGTTACTGTCTGTGCCCTTTCATTTCAACATGCGGGACTTGCATGAGCATTTCTTGCAGGGCAGGTCTAGTTGTAACAACTCTGTAGGCTGTTGTAGCTGTCCCTATGCCAACGATCAGGCTGAGATGTAAACTTAAGGTCTTCTCAGGTCTTTTCTAAGCCTGTACCTTACCATTGGCATGTTCTATGATTTCATTTTCTAATTTCTTCCATATGTGCAATTGCTTTTGAATGTTCTAGTCTTTAATATCTGGATCCCGAGAAGGGAAAAACAGAAAAACATAGGAGGGGCTGGGGGACGCGCTGGCCCTTTAAATCTCCTGGAAATCGCTTCAGCTGGAGAGGAGCTTGCAACAATGTGGGGAGGAAAGAAAACAAAGGCCATCTGCTATATCTTTGTCTGCATCACTGTGATCAGAAGCAGCACTCAATAGTCCAACACAGACCCAAGATATTTGGAGAACATGGTCGTTTTTGTTCACCCTGGTTTTCCCAAGCTGCATGCAACCTGCTCCTAGAACACGTGCATGGCAACAGAGCTGGGTGTGTGGAGTGGGAGCTGCTAAGTGGGTAGCTGCTTTCAGTGAAGAGCTGAAATTGACCACAATTAATCACAATTTATTGCCCAAGAATCCCCCTGGAAGTTGCAAGCCTTCAGTAAATACCAGAGTTCTGAAATAGTTATATTACACAGATTCTTCAAGTACAATTTTTGTCTAGATGGGGAACCAGATTCCCGATGATTCCTGCCCTGCCATCTTCCCAAACCTCTCTCACATTACTTTTAAGTGATATAACCATGTCACTGGAACAACTGGCCCAACATCCCCAAAATCTGACACTTCATACTTCACTGCTATGTATATAAAATACAATCTATATTTTTACCTCTTTTTGATTAAGTTACCAGGACTGAGTACAGAGGCTTAGGATACTGCTGACCACTAGAAACTGAATTGATCTCTTAAACTCACATTAAGCAGCATTTAGAAGAATTGGTGGTCAGCAGCAAATAGGTTAAAATCAGACAGACAGAACAAGTGAGGAAAACAGAATACAGATACCATGATTGGAATTAATATGGAATAATTCTATAATATATCATGTCCTGATACATTTAATGAATTTCTCCTTTCTATGACAGATAATTCTACTTTTTTTAACTAAAAAAGTAAAAAAAGTAACCATTATAACCTTAGAGAATAAAGTATTTTTTTCCTGTCTGATCTATTTTATCTGCCTCACTTCTGTCTTGGACCTTTACAATATTTTATTCTGTATCTATTTTCTCTGTTCCAGCATGAAGACAACAATCTCTGGGGACCTGAATGCCACAATGTGAATTTGATGCAGTTGCAAGATAAAAGAATTGACTTATCAGGGCTACTATTCTAGGGACACTTGTGTCAACTTAAATGAAAAAAATCTTGAAGAAATTTATTTGAAAAAACATCTTGGTAAACGTGAGAAATATATTACAGAAATGTAATGTACACATTTACCTTTGATGCAAAAGATATAAAGTGTTTTGTGACTTCTTTGCCTACCACTAACTTTAAGATGTAAAAAGAAAGAGACATAAACACAAACAACACAAAAACAAAGAACTGTTATGATATATTAAAAGGGTTAGAATACCATATAGGTGCACACACATATACACACAAATGAAGATGGCTACAGACCAGACTAGAGTAGAACAAAAGTTGATTATTATCAGCAAGAATTTATAGGTACAGAAATATAAATATATGAATCTATATAGACATATGTATCATTTTAAATTGTAAAGAAAGATTTCTTCTATAAAATGTCCTTCCATTTTTGATACATATTTTTCAAAAATTAAAATCATTTTCCGACATAAGTAAATTTTTAAAGAATTTTCCAGAAAATTTAAGATTTCTAGTTTTCAAATAAAAAATTCAAGATAATGGAAATGTACAAGAAACCTTAGAGAAAAAAAAAATAAACCAGAGAACAGAAAAAACAAAATTGTCAATATTTTAAAATTAGTGTAGTGTAAACTAAAAAGAAATTTGCATCCATAAAACAAAGTCTGACTGTTTAAAAAGGACCATTTAGACAAGGAGAAAGAGTGTGTAAATATATATGAGTAATAAACCTAGAAAATAATCACTAAATAGCAGAAGGGCATTTGGAAGAATTCTGAATAATCTAAGACAAAGACAAATAAAAGGCAAACAGAAAATAAAAGTTAAATAAATAAGGACCGTTTCAACAGTCCAAACTCACTTACTATTTTAACTAGAGAATATAAATGGGGAAATATTGAAAAACAATAGCAGAAAATACTCATTAAACAAAGTTATATCCTCAACTAGAAAGCATCTATTTGCCAAGTAGTTTGAACTGAAAGAGGCCAAAATGCATACACTTGTGTGTGTGGGTGGGTGGGTGAAATTTAAAGTATCAGAGATGGAATGAAAAACTGAAATGCTTCTAGAAAGAAAGGCATACTTACAAAGTAAAACAATAATCCGATTGCCATAAAGCTTTTCATATGTTCACATAATAGAAGAAATGAAGCAATGCCTTCAATTTTGTAAAAGAAAATAGTTAAACTTATAATTTTATACCCCATTCATATCACCAACCATGATATATGAATAACATATTTATGGAAAACAATAACTTATGATTTTTACCACCTGCATATGCTCTAAGGATTAAGTAATTAGAGAATATGCTAAAAAAATAGAAAAAAATAATATCTGAAAAAATGTCAAGGAAACAAGGGAACTAGCCAAGGGTTCAGTTGAAGTTATTCAGGGATAATTACTATTCAATAAGGTTCAGAATCCATAGGTCCAAGTTACATGAGGGATTCAATTGTGTCCAATGTCTAAGAAGAAATTAATGTGATTTCCTAAATAATGTTGTTAGGAAGTTGACTGATTTTTATAAAAATGTATCAAAAAAGACATTGCCAATATAAGGTAGTAAATAAAATTAGTATTACACTTCTAACATTATAATGTGGTAAACTACAGTTTATTTTTCTCGTTTACTAGCCTATGGCTATTTTTGGGTAGTTAAATATTCCTGAGTAGTGCTATCTGTACGTTTATAAGATTTATTTTCTACTCATTCCAAATCTTCCAATTTGGTATGGCATTCACATGTTCATAGTATTATAAATGTTGTCATTAATTATTAGGTTTTTAATTAATCTTTACCCATAAAACGCTGCCACTCAGGAGAGTGGCGTGAAACCAGGAGGTGGAGCTTGCAGTGAGCCCAGTGAACTGAGATCGCGCCACTGCACTCCAGCCTGGGCGACAGAGAGAGACTCCGTCTCAAAAATAAATAAATAAATAAATAAAGGCTGCCGTCACTATAGTTGAAAAATATAATTTGAAAGTATGAAGATTTAGCACCTTAAAGAAAATATTTAGAAAAAAATGTAGTTCAGAAGATGAAGCAGCATCCTTGAAAGAGAGAAACATTCTTTATGGCTAAAAAGAAATAGGTATTTTAGAGCATTGCAAGGAGCCCTAAAGTTATCTGCTGGAATACTTTGAAAATAAATTCAATCAATACCCTGAAAGTTGATCTATCAAGAAATAGTAATATAAGCCTATTATGCAGACCTACCAATGTGACTAATAGAATAAATAAATATAAAGCAGTTAGATGTCTTTACTTCTGAGGCATCACAGTTTAAAAATTCGTTGACCTGTAATTTGTGGCTATCACTAGGGAGTATAATGTGAAAGGTAACATTCTGTTTAAACGTGATAAGCATGTGTTATTTTGAAATGGACTTGAAGCTCTTTGGTGGCAGCAAAGGATAGGACATTTTTAGTATTCTACTATTCTGTCTTCTTCTCTCAGTCTAAGCACATGAGCTGATTATATTTCCTGGTGTTGAATTAGGCCCAGACTTTTGATAAGCCCTGTATCAATCACAAATGCAGAAATGAACAAACAGAACACAAATGCAGTGAGAGATGTGAAATTTGAAGCTGTTTGAAGTGCTAAATTACCACAAGGACTACGGCTGCATTGCAGATGTCCTGATGTTTTCAAAGCAGACCTTCCATAAGAAAAAAAGAAACTTTTATCATATTAAGTGGTTGAGATTTTGGTGACATTTATTATGTCAGCATTGCAGTAATATTAAGGGCAACAGAAGAAGAAAACTGTCATAATCATTGTAAATTTAAACCAACTAATTGTGAAAGACCAGAGAATATTGAGCAACACTCTCATTCCTTATTTTCCTGCATGAATATGAGATGATTAGGAGACTAGATAAAGTTATATGAATTCATGAAGACTAGGGCTATATATAAATTTTGTAATGTCATCTTTTGTGAAAAATATAAACAGGAACCACTTCCAATAATTTTTCATGCTCAAAGTTCAGATGCTTTCTACTTTAATATCTGTAATTAACCACTTCACTCAAGCTTTTGTGAAACTTCAGTCCATTTCCTCTATATTTTATCAAGCTGTCAAAATTATTTATGTATCTACATTTCCAAGTATTCTGGTGTTCAAATAACATTTTTCTGCTGGTTAGTATTCATCTTAACCTAACTCAATATATTATTTTTTGCCAATAAAACCTATCATTGAAAATATTCCTTTACATCCATAAACAACTACCTATAAGGTGTATTTTTATTTAGATTACTTAACAAATATTTTAATTTTCCAGCTCAAGATCTTTCTTTTGCCGGGCGCGGTGGCTCATGCCTGTTATCCTAACACTTTGGGAGGCTGAGATGGGCGGATCACCTGAGGTCAGAGGTTTGAGATCAGTCTGGCCAACATGGTGAAACGCTGTCTCAACTAAAAATACAAAAATTAGCTGGGCATGGTGGCACATGCCTGTAATCCCAGCTACTCGGGAGGCTGAGGCAGGAGAATCGCTTGAACCCAGGAGGTGGAGGTTGCAGGGAATGGAGATTGCACCACCGCACTTCAGCCTGGGCGACACACACACACACACACACACACACACACGGATTTTTCTTTTAATGTAAAACTAAAAATTAGCCACAAACATGTTTTTATCTATAATTATCTAAATGGAATAAAGGAAGTGTGTTTATATTCATCTCAATAACCATTTTATAGCCAAATAATTTCAAGAAATAGCTACATTTGCATTGATGTATGTGAACAAAATTATTTATTAAATGCAATTTAGAGTTATTAAGTTAAATTATATTTTCAAATTTGCCACTAATATTTAGAAATACACGAAAGACATCTGAACAACTTTAGGGAAAATAATGAAAAGAGGAAAATATACACAATTCAAATAAATAAAGGCAAGAATGAAGGAACAATGAATATAGAAAAGCAGAGCAAAGAGACAGCAAAAAATAAGATGATAGAAATAATCCAGAAGAAGAAAAAAATACTAAAAAGTAAACATATTAACTCCCAGTTCAAAGTCATTCAGTCTCAAACTTCATAAAAAACTCAAATATTTCATTGTAGGCCATTCAGAAGACACATACCTAAATATAAGCCAACTGTTTGTTGAAAGTAAAGTGAAAGATAGGCATATTCCAAGCAGATACGTACCCAGAGAAGACTAGGTAATATCTTATTGGACAATAATATGCATAAGGCAAAAAAATTAAGTAAAATCGCACACAATGATGCAAGATTCAGTATACCAAGAGGATAAAACAAGTATTGTAAGGATGTTAAACCAAAGTAAATTAAAAAATAACAACCCCAAAACCTTAGGAAACAACTAGGCATTAACAAATAATTCTGAACATGCTCATAATGTAAGTAAAGCTATTGTACTCCATTTATATATCTAAAAATATACCTGGTGGTATTCACGTGACATCTTCATTTGCAATAGCAAAAAATTCTGCCCATGAAAATTTAAGTAGATGAATACAGTATTCATTATTTCTGTATGACCATGAAAAAACATAAAGCTACGCTAATTAAAAGGAATGTGTATTAAAAAGTTTCAATGAATATATTTAGAATGAAATATATATATTTATATATATCAAAGTACATTCATACAAATATTTAAAAGAATTGAACTAAAGAATATATGTACCTAGATATTACATATCTATTTTGTAAAGGGAGAAAGATATGACAGGGCATCTCACAATAACTTTTAATTGCTCTGATTCTGTGTGATTTTCTTAAGCTTGCTTGTAGCTAACAATCCATGCATATTTGTTTATTACATCTCTGTAACCTGGCCACTTTTAGAATATTTTTACATGTCATATTTTGTAATTAAAAAATAATTTAAAACATTAAAGGTCACTTTGTGACAGTACTGAAGGAAAGTTTAAGTGTTAACGTACAGGTATGCACATATAATTGGAATGATGTAGCCATGAGTTAATTTTCCTCCAACATTTTCTTGTATCAAAATATTTAATCAATTGAGGTATATTTTATGGCAAAAAATTAACTATAAAAATTCATCTTTACAGACAATGAATTTATTTCTTGGTTATATATTATCTTTGATATGTCACAAAAATAACATTATAATCTAAAGAATCAATTTATGTAATAGTTTTTTACTTATAAGAAAAAATAAAGCAAGATTTAATATTGAGCCAGTAACATATTTAATTGCAGTAGGAACTTGATAGGTATACATCAGCTTCCAACAGTTCAATAGTATTAAGCATAATTGTCAGAAAGCAAAGAAGTCTTTTCACGATCTATTTCCTTTGGCATTACATTTTGAGATTCATTTTGAAATTGTCTGTCCTGACAAAATAGAGAACTGTGTACAATGATAATATTCAAGTCAAAACAATCATATTGAATACTGTAAATACATGAATATGCATACTTTTAATTTTTAGTTCTGTATTTAATAATAAATTCTAACTCAAGATTATAACAGAACACATCAAATTTATGTAATGTTTACCTTTGTTTCAGAAAAAAACTTCTGTTCAAAGAAGATAAGCTATAATGCAAAATATTTACATACAGTTGTTGATTTTTTTCTCTATAGATTTTAGTTTTAATTCTGTATATGTTTACAAGCATAAACTATTCATAATTCTGTATATTTTTAGGTCACATTTATAAGTAAATAATTGTTATAAATGAACTCAAAAAATATGTGGGGCTTTTTATTTTAAATTAATTGAAAATTATTTGGTATATGGCTAATATTGGCTGTTCGCTGTTTTAAGAGCTAGAAATACCCTAATTAAAAAAAAAAGAAATAAGAACCCTTATCCTCTGGAAGTTTTCCCTTCTAAAAGATAAACTTCTCAAGGTAGCACCTCATGAAAAAAGAACTGTCATAAGCATATAAAATTGTTCCTGTATTTCTTTATTTTTTGATTTTTATTTTAGATTCGGGGTACACATGCATGTTTGTTATATAGATAAGCTGCCTGTCATGGGGGTTTTGCATACAGATTATTTTATCACCCAGGTAATAAGCATAGGACCCAATGGGTATTTTGGGTCATCTTTTCCCTCCTCCCACCCTCCACCTTCAAGTAGGCTGGTTGTGTGTTTTTACCCCTTTTGTGTCCACGTATACCTGATGTTTGGCTCTCACTTATAAGTAGGAACATGCAATATTTGGTTTTCTTTTTCTGTGTTAGTTTGCTTTATCTCTATCCATGTTGCTGTTGTTTATTATGGCTGAGTAATATTCCATGGTGTATATGAACCACACTGTTTTTATTCAGTCTACCAATAATGGGCATTTAGGTTGATTCTGTGTCTTTGCTATTGTGAATAGTGCTGCAATGAACATATACATGCATGTGTCCTTATGGTATAATAGAACCATTTTTATTCCTTTGGGAATATACTCAATTATGAGATTTCTGGGTAGGGCAGTAACTCCAGTTTGAGTTTTGAGGAAACCACGCTGCTTTTCACAATGGCTGAATGAACTTACACTCCCACCAGCAGTGTATAAGCATTCTGTTTCTCTGCACCCTTGCTGGCATTTGTTATTTTTTGGCTTTAAATAATAGCCATTATGACTGGTGTGAGATGATATTTAATTGTGGTTTTGATTTGCATTTCTCTAATGATTAGTGATGTTGAGCCTTTTTTCATATGCTTGTTGGACACATGTATGTCTTTTGAAAAGTATCTTTTCATGTCTTTTGCCCACTTTTTAATGTGGTTGTTTTTTTGCCTGTGAAGTTTGGTACAGATTCTGGATATTAGACTTTTGTCAGATTCATAGTTTGCAAATATTTTATCCCATTTTGTAAGATGTCTGTTTACCCTGTTGATAGTTTCCTTTACTACGCAAAAGCTCTTTAGTTTAATTTGGTCCTATTTGTCAATTTTTGTTTTTGTTGCAATGGTTTTTGGAGTCTTTGTCATGAAATCTCTGCTAGGTCCTATATTGATAATTGTATTTTTTAGATTATTTTACCAGGTTTTTATAGTTTTAGGTTTTATGTGTAAGTCTTTAATCCACCTTGAGTGATTTTTTTGTATACAATTACAAAATTGTATATAATTTTGTTGAAAATTAAACAACCTCTTCCTGAATGACTTTTGGGTAAATTAAAAAATTAACGCAGAAATCAAGAAATTATTTGAAAGTAATGAGAACAAAGATAAAATACCAAAATCTCTGGAAAATGGCTAAAGCAGAGTTAACAGTAAAGTTTATAGCACCAAAATGCCCAAATTAAAAAGTTAGAAATATATATTAAATTAACAACCTAGCATCATAATTACTGGAACTAGAGAAACAAGAGCAAACCAACTCCAAAGCTAGCAGAAGACAAAGAGTAACCAAAATCTGAGCTGAACTGAAGAAAATGAGATGCAAAAATAAAACCAACCATACAAAAAATCAATGAATCCAGGTGTTGTTCCACTAAAAAAATTAATAAAATTGATAAACAACTAATGAGACTAATGAAGAAAAAAGAGAGAAGATCCAAATAAAGATATTTAGAAATGACAAAGTTTACATTACAATTGACCAAACAGGAATACAAATAACAATCAGATAATATTTTGAATAGTTCTATGCAAACAAACTAGAAAATCTAGAAGAAATAGGTAAATTTGTGAACACATACAACTTCCCAAGACTAAACCAGGAAGAAACTGGATTGCTGAACAGATCAATAATGAGTTCCAAAATTGAATCAATAATAAAAAGCTTATTAATGAAAAACAAAAACAAAAACAAAAACAAAAACAAAAACAAAAACAAAACAAAACAAAAAAAAGCCCAGGACCAGAGAGAGTCACAGCCAATTTCTACCAGATGTATAAAGTAGAGCTGGTACCATTCCTACTGAAACTACTCCAAAAAATTGAGGAGGAATGAGTTTTCCCTAACTCATTTTGTGAGGCCAACATCATCATGATACCAAAACCTGTCACAGACAAAGCAAAAAAAGAAAACCTCACGCTAATATCCTTGAACATAGATGCAAAAATTCTCAAGGAAATCCTAGCAAACTGAATCCAGCAGCACATTGAAAAGCTAATTCACCATGAGCAATTAGGCTTTGTCCCTGGGATGTAAAGTTGGTTCCTTTATTTCTTGATAACATCAAGAGATTTCTATGATGCCAATAACTAGACAATGGCATTCACATGCATATGAGGATCAGAGTCTCAGGAATAGTTAATAACAATGGAAAAAAAATTTATTTACCATATGGAATATAAACCTCTAATACAGTAAACAGTTGGAAAATGTTTATAAAGCTAGTTTTGCATAATATATCTATATCAAAGTTCCTTGACTTACAATGGGGTTATGCACTGAAAAATCCATCATTAATTGAAAATATCTAAGTCTAAAATGCATTTAATACATCTAGCCTACCAAGCACTTTTGCTTAGTCTAAACTACCTTGACCATGCTCAGAACACTTACATTAGTCTATACTTGGGTAAAATCATCTAACGCAAAGTCTATTTTATAATAAAGTGTTGAATATCTCATGTCATTTATTGAATACTGTACCAAATGTGAAAAACAGTTGTATGGGTACTCATCATTAATATACCCAGCTAAAAGCATACTGAGCCTGAAGAATATTTGAAGCACCGAACTAAAGTTAAATGTTGGATAATGAGGCTATTATAGTGACAGGGTCATTGATGTAGTTTGGCTGTGTCCCCACCCAAATCTCACCTTGAATCGTATTAATCCCCACATGTCAAGGATGGGGCCAGTTGGAGATAATTGAATCATGGGGGTGGTTCCCCCATACCATTGTCACGATAGTGAATAAATCTTATGAGATCTGATGGTTTTATAAATGGGAGCTCCCCTGCACAAATTATCTTGCCTTCCACCATGTAAGACATGACTTTGTACCTCCTTGCCTCACACCATGATTGTAAGGCATCCCTAGCCACATGGAACTGTGAGTCAATTAAACCTCTTTTCTTTATAAATTACCCAGTCTTGAGTATTTTTTTATTAGCAGTGTGAGAACAGACTAATACAGTCATCAACTTCTGTCTCTTCTGATGAGGCTCAAGAACAGCTGTTAGAAGGTACTGGGGCATGGGCTGAGCATGGTGGCTCACCCTTGTAATCCCAGCACTTTGGGAGGCCGAGGTGGGTGGATCACTTGAGGTCAGGAGTTTGAGACTAGCTGGCCAACATGGTGAAACCCCATCTCTACTAAAAATACAAAAAAATTAGCCAGGGGTGGTGGCACATGCCTGTAATCCCAGCTACTCGAGAAGCTGAGGCATGAAGAATCACTTGAACCCGGGAGGTGCAGGTTGCAGTGAGCCAAGATCATGCCACTGCACTCCAACCTGGGTGACAGAGTGAGACTTTGTCTCAGAAAAAAAAAAAAAAGATACAAAGATACTGGGGCATGGATATTTGCTGGTTTAGCAAATCTAGGGTTCTTCAGGAAAATATAAAGTATCCATTGTTTTCCATCATAATTCTGAAAGAGACTGGGAGCTGTGGCTTGCTGCTGCTGCCCAGCATCAGGAGATAGCATCTTACTGTGCATTGCTAGCCCGGGAAAATATCAGAATTTAAAATTTAAAGTACAATTTTTATTGAATGTGTATTGCTTTCCCAACATTTTAGTAGAAAAACTTTAAGTCAAAGAATTGTTAAGTCAAGAATCATCTGTATTTAAATTTAATATACTGTTCAACACTTAGTTACCCCTCTTGGTGATGTTTTACTACCAAATATTTTGAATCAAATTTCACAATTTATATTTCCCTAACTGATATCAAGCATATTTTAGGCATTGAATCTATTAAAATATCTTTTTAGAGATAAATAATTTAGACATTTAAATATAAGTGACCAGAAATATTATCTTTTCTTATAATTTGAAATATCAAATACTTGAGCATACATTTTTTAAATCACTTGGTCTTGATTATATCTTGGCAATTCTTCAAAATAATTGTGACTATAAATGCACTGGTAAGATGTAAAATGAATAATGTCATTATTTAAAAACTTAGTGGCCAAGATGGCCAAATAGGAACAGCTCCAATCTGCAGCTCCCAATGAGACCAACTCAGAAGGCAGGTGATTTCCAACTGAGGTACCCAGTTCATCTCACTGGGACTTGTTAGTCAGTGGGTCCAAACCAAAGAGAGAGAGCAGAAGCAGGGGTGGGTATCACTTCACCTGGGAAGTACAAGGAGCCAGGGACTTCCTTTCCCAAGCCAAGGGAAGCCTTGAGGGACTGTGCTACCCGGCCGGGTTACTATGCTTTTTCCATCATTTTTGCGATCTGCAGATCAGGAGAATCCCTTGTGTGCCTACACCACAAGGGCCCTGGGTTTCAAGCACAAAACTGGGCCGCTATTTGGGCAGACACCAAGCTAGCTGCAGAAGTATTTTTTTGTGCCCCTGTGGCACCTGGAACCTCAGTGAGACAAAACCGTTCACTTCCCTGGAAAGGTGGCTGAAGCCATAGAACCAAGTGATCTCACTCAATGAGTCCCACTCCCACAGAGCCCAGCAAGCTAAGAACCACTGACTTGAAATTCTTACTGCCAGCACAGCAGTGTGAAGTCGACCTGGGATGATCAAGCTTGGTGGGGTGAGGGGCGTCTGCCATTACTGAGGCTTTAGTAGGTGATTTTCCCCTTACAGTGCTAAGGAGGCTGGGAGGTATGAGCTGGGTGCAGCAAAGTGGCTGTGGCCAGCCTGCTTCTCTAGATTCCTCCTCAGTGGGCAGGGCATCTCTGAAGGAAAGGTAACAGCCCCAGTCAGGGCCTTATAGAAAAAAACCCCATCTTCCTGGAACAGAGCACCTGGGGGAAGGGGCAGTTGTGGGCTCAGCTTCACCGGATTTAATTATTCCTCCCTGCTGGCTCTGAAGAGAGCAGCTGATCCTGACAGGAGGGATTCTCCCATCACAGTGTACCAGCTCTAAGGAACAGACTGCCTCCTCAGCTGGGTCCCTGACACCCATGCCACCTGACTGGGTGAAACCTCCCAACAGGGGTCGACAGAGACCTCATACGGGAGAGTTCTGGCTGGCATCTGGCAGGTGCCCCTCTGGGATGAAGCTTACAAAGGAAGGAGCAGGCAGCAATCCTTGCTGTTCTGTAGCCTCCGTTGGTGACACCCAGGTGAACAGGGTCTGGAGTGGACTTCCAGCAAACTGCAGCAGACCTGCAGAAGAAGGACCTGACTGTTAGAAGAAAAACTAACAAACAGAAAGCATCAACATCAACATCAACATAAAGGACTCCCACACAAAAACCCTGTCCAAAGGTTGTCAGCCTCAAAGATCAAAGGTAGATAAATCCATGAGGACGAGGAAAAACCAATACAAAAATGCTGAAAACTACAAAAGCCAGAATGCTTCTTCTCCAAATGATCGCAACTCCTCTCCAGCAAGGGCACAAAACTGGGCAGAGAATGAGATGACAAATTGACAGAAGTAGGGTTCAGAAGGTGGGTAATAACAAACTCCACGAGATAAAGGAGCATGTTCCAACCCAATGCAAGGAAGCTAAGAACCTTGATAAAAGGTTACAGGAACTGCTAACCAGAATAACTAGTTTAGAGAGGAACATAAATGACCTGATGGAGCTGAAAAACACAGCACCAGAACTTCATGAAGCATACACAAGTGTCAATAGCCAAATCAATCAAGTTGAAGAAAGGATATCAGAGATTGAAGATCAACTTAATGAAATAAGGCATGAAGACAAGATTAGAGAAAAAAATAATGGAAAGGAACAAACAAAGCCTCCAAGAAAGATAGGACTATATGAAAAGATCAAACCTATGACTGATTGGTGTACCTGAAAGTGACAGGGAGAAGCTGGAAAACAAATTTCAGGATATTATCCAGGAGAACTTCCCCAACCTAGAAAGATAAGCCAACATTCAGATTCAATAAATGCAGAGAACACCACAAAGATACTCCTCGAGAAGAGCAACCCCAAGACACATAATCATCAGATTCTCCAAGGCTGAAACAAAGAAAAAAATACTAAGGGCAGCCAGAGAGAAATGTCAGGTTATCCACAAAGGGAAGCTCATCTGACTAACAGTGGCTCTCTGAAGAAACCCTACAAGCCAGAAGAGAGTGGGGGCCAATATTCAACATTCTTAAAGAAAAGAATTTTCAAGCCAAAATTTCATATCCAACCAAACTAAGCTTCATAAACAAAGGAGAAATAAAATTCTTTCCATACAAGCAAATGCTGAGATATTTTGTCACCACCAGGCCTGCCTTACAAGAGCTCCTGAAGGAAGATCTAAATATGGAAAGGAAAAACTGATGCCAGCCACTGAAAAAACATACCAAAATATAAAGACCAATGACACTATGAAGAAACTGCATCAACTAATGTACAAAATAACCAGCTAGCATCATGATGACAGGATCAAATTCACACATAACAAGATTAACCTTAGGCCAGGCCCTGTGGCTCACGCCTGTAGTCCCAGCACTGGGGCGAGGTGGGTGGATCACTAAGTCAGGAATTCGAGACCAGCCTGGCCAACATGGCAAAACCCCATCTCTACAAAAAATACAAAAATTAGCTGGGCTTGGGCTGGGCATGTGTAATCCTAGCTACTCAGGAGGCTGAGGCAGGAGAATTGCTTGAATCCGGGAGGTGCGGGTTGCAGTGAACCCGAGATTGTGCCACTGTGCTCCAGCCTGGGCAACAAAGCAAGACTCCAGCTCAAAAAAAGAAAAAAAAATTAACCTTAATTGTAAATAGGCTAAATGCTCCCAAATAAAAGACACAGACTGGAAAATTGGTTAGAGAGTTGAGACCCACTGGTCTGCTATATTCAGGAGACCCATCTCACATGCAAAGACACACAGGCTCAAAATAAAGGGAGAGAAGAATATTTACCAAGCAAATGGAAAGCAAAAAAAAAGCAAGGGTTGCAATCCTAGTCTCTTATATAACAGAATTTAAACCAAAAATGATCAAAAAAGACAAAGAAGGGTATTACATAATGGTAAAGGGATCAATACAACAAGAAGAGCTAACTATTCTAAATGTATATGCACCCAATACAGGACCACCCAGCTTCATAAAACAAGTTCTTAGATACCTACCAAGAGACTTAGTCTTTCACAAAATAATAGTGGGAGACTTTAACACCCAATGTCAATTTTAGACAGATAAACAAGACAGAAAATTAACAAGGATGTTTAGGACTTGAACTCAGCTCTGGATCAAGTGGATCTAATAAACATCTACAGAACTACTCTCCACCCCAAATCAACAGAATATATATTCTTCTCAGTGCCATATAGCACATATTCTAAAATTGACCACGTAATTGGAAGTAAAACACTCCTCAGCAAATGCAAAAGAATGGCAGTCATAACTAATAGTCTCTCAGACCACAGTGCAAACAAATTAAAACTCAGGATTAAGAAACTCACTCAAAACCACACAACTACGTGGAAATTTAACAATCTGCTCCTGAATGACTACTGGGTAAATAACAAAATTAAGGCAAAAATAAATAAGTTATTTGAAACCAATGAGAACAAAGACAAAACGTACCAGAATCTCTGGGACACAGCTAAAGCAGTATTAAGAGGGACATTTATAGCACTGAATGACCACAAAAGAAAGCTAGAAAGACCTAAAATTGACACACTAACATCACAATTAAAAGAACTAGAGAAGCAATAGCAAACAAATTCAAAAGCTAGCAGAAGACAAGAAATAACTAAGATCAGAGAAGAACTGAAGGATATAGAGACATGAAAAACCCTTCCAAAAAAAAAAAAATCAATGACTCCAGGAAGTGCTTTTTTTTTGAAAAGATTAACAAAATAGATGGACCACTAGCCAGACTAATAAAGAATAAAAGAGAAAAGAATCAAATAGACATAATAAAAGGTGATAAAGAGGTTATCACCACCAATCCCACAGAAATACAAACTACCCCATCAGAGAATACTATAAAAACCTCTACACAAATGAACTAGAAAAACTAGAAGAAATGGATAAATTCCTGGACACATACACCCTCCCAAGACTAAACCAGGAAGGAGTCAAATCCCTAAATAGACCAATAACAAGTTCTGAAACTGGGGCAGTAATTAATAGCTTACCAACCAAAAAGAGCTCAGGACCAGAGAGATTCACGGCCAAATTCTTTTTTTTTTTAATTTCTTTTTTTTAATTATACTTTAAGTTTTAGGGTACATGTGCACAACGTGCAGGTTTGTTACATATGTATACATGTGCCATGTTGGTGTGCTGCACCCATTAACTCATCATTTAACATTAGGTATATCTCCTAATGCTATCCCTCCCCCCTCACCCCACCCCACAACAGGCCCCGGTGTGAGATGTTCCCCATCCTGTGTCCATGTGTTCTCATTGTTCAATTCCCACCTATGGGTGAGAACATGCGGTGTTTGAATTCTACCAGAGGTACAAAGAGGAGCTGGTACCATTCCTTCTGAAACTATCCCAAACAATAGAAAAAGAGGGACTCCTCCCTAACTCATTTTATGAGGCAGCATCATCCTGATACCAAAATCTGACAGAGATGCAACAAAAAAAGAAAATTTCAGTCCAATATCCCTGGTAAACATCGATCAAAAATCCTTAATAAAAGACTGGCAAACCAAATCTAGCAGCATATTAAAAAGCTTACACATCATGATCAAGTCGACTTTGTCCCTGGGATGCAAGGCTGGTTCAACATACACAAATCAGTAAATATAATCCAACACATAAAGAGAACCAATGACCAAAAAACCATATGATTATCTCAATAGATGCAGAAACAGCCTTCAATATAATTCAACACCCCTTCATGCTAAAAACTCTCAATAAACTAGGTATTGATTAAACATATCTCAAAATAATAAGAGCTATTTATGACAAACCTATAGCCAATACCATACTGAATGGGCAAAAGCTGGAAGCATTCCTTTTGAAAACTGGCACCAGACAAGTATGCCCTCTGTCACCACTCTTATTCAACAGAGTATTGGAAGTTCTGGCCAGGGCAAACAGGCAAGAGAAAGAAATAAAGGGTATTCAAATAGGAAGACAGGAAGTGAAATTGTCTCTGTTTGCAGATGACATGAATGTGTACTTAGAAAAACCCATCGTTTCAGCCCAAAATCTCCTTAAGCTGATAAGTAACTTCAGCAAAGTCTCAGGATACAAAATCAGTGTGCAGAAATCACAAGCATTCCTATACACCAATAATAGACAAGCAGAAAGCCAATAACTGCTGTAAGGACAGTAAAATACCTAGGAATCCAACTTACAATGGATGTGAAGGACCTCTTCAAGGAGAACTACAAACCACTGCTCAAGGAAATAAGAGAGGACAAAAACAAATGGAAAAACATTCCATGCTCATGGATAGGAAAAATCAATATCGTGAAAATGGCCAAACTGTCCAAAGTAATTTATAGATTCAACTGTATTCTCATTAAGCTGCCAGTGACTTCCTTTGCAAAATTAGAAAAAACTACTTTAAATTTCAAATGGAACCAAAAAAGAGCCTGTATAGCCAAGACAATCCTAAGCAAAAAGAACAAAGCTGCAGGCATCATCCTACCTGACTTCAAACAATATTACAAGGCTACAGTAACCAAAACAGCATGGTACTAGTACCAAAACAGATATATAGATCAATGGAACATGACAGAGACCTCAGAAACAACACCACACATCTATATCCATCTGACAAAAACAAGCAATGAGAATTCCCTATTTAATAAATTTTGTGGGGAATACTGGCTAGCCATATGCAGAAAAGAGAAACTGGACCACTCCCTTACACCTTATACAACAATTAACTCAAGATAGATTAGAGATTTAAACGCAAAACTCAAAATCATAAAAACCCTAGAAGAAAACCTAGGCAGTATCATTCAGGACATAGGCATGGGCAAAGACTTCATGACTAAAACACCAAAAGCAATTGCAACAAAAGCCAAAATTCACAAATGGGATCTAGCCAAACTAATGAACTTCTGCACAGCAAAAGAAACTATTATCAGAGTGAAGAGGCAACCTACAGAATGGGAGAAAATTTTTGCAAGCTGCCCATCTGACAAAGGCCTAATATCCAGAATCTACAAGGAACTTAAATTTACAAGAAAAAAAACAAACAACCCCATCAAAAAGTGGGCAAAGGATATGAAAAGACACTTCTCAAAATAAGACGTTTATGCAGCCAACAAACATATGCAAAATGCTCATTATCACTGGTCATTAGAGAAATGCAAATCAAAACCACAATGCGATATTTTCTCATGCCAGTTAGAATGGTGATTATTAAAATGTCAGGAAAGAACAGATGCTGGTGAAGCTGTGGAGAAATAGGAATGCTTTACACTGTAAATTAGTTCAACCATTGTGGAAGACAGTGTGGCAATTCCTCAAGGATCTAGAACCAGAAATACCATTTGATCCAGCAATCCCATTACTGGGCATATACCCAAAGGATAATAAATCATTCTACTATAAAGACGCATGCAGATGTATGATTATTGCAGCACTATTTATAATAGTAAAGACTTCGAATCAACCCAAATGCCCATCAATGATAGACTGGATAAAGAAAATGTGGCACATATACACCAGGAATACTATGCAGCCATAAAAAACATAAGTTCATGTCCTTTGCAGGGACACGGATGAAACTGGAAGCCATCATTCTCAACAAACTACACAGGAAAAACCAAACACCGCATGTTCTCACTAGTATGTGGGAGTTGAATGATGAACACATGGACATAGGGAAGGGAACATCACACACCAGGACCTGTCTTGGGTAGGGCGAGCATTAGGACAAATACCGAATGCATGTGGGGCTTAAAATGTAGATGTTGGGTTGACAGGCGCAGCAAACCACCATGGCACATGTATGCCTACGTAACAAACCTGCACATTCTGCACATGTACCCCAAAACTTAAAATAAAATAAAATAAAACTTATTGAGATCTGAGTTTTTAACATGATGTCACATGTACTACTCTTTTTATATAATTTAAAAATATATTTCCTGTACATGAATAAAATGATTAAAACATAGTATAGCTTTATTAAATTAAAAAAAAACTAGGCCTTAAAGTTTTATTTTGTTGTTATTCAACCATATGTTTGCCAAAAAAAAAAAAAAAACTAAGGTTCTTATGTTTCAGTGTCTCAAATAATTGTTTCTAAATTTTATAAATATTTCTTGGCTCGTTACTTCTGGAAATAGATAAAACCACATGTCACTTAATATATCCCTGAAAGCCAGTCATTGGATTTTATATGTTGGAGAATCAGGGACGAATTCTAAAATGATAATTTACTTTAAGCTGTCTGCTGTATTTCACATATTATATAAGCGATTATAAAGGAGGAAATTGAGCTGGCTGCAATAATTTAAGCAGTCTACCTATTTGTCACGATCATAATAATCTTGCTTTGAATAGAGATGTGCTTCTGCATCTCATGCCTATTTATTATTTATTTTGAGACAGGGTCTCAATCTCTTGCCCATGCTAGAGTACAGTGGTGTTACCATAACTCACTGCAACCTTGAATTTCTGGGCTGAAACCAACCTCCTCTCTCAGCCTTTAGAGTGGCCGGGACTACAGCACACACCACCACGCCCCATTTCTTTTTTTTTTTCTTTTTTTTTGGTAGAGATGGGAGTCATTGTATTTTGGCCAGGCTGGTCTGCAAGTCCTAGGTTCAAGCAATCCTCCTGCTTTGGCCTCCCAAAGTGTTGAAATTACAGGCATGAACCACCACACTCAGCCCACTCATGGATAAGTGAAGCAAATCACTTAGCTTTATTCAGTAACTTTTCAATTCTTGAATCTGGGCCACAACCACATTTTGGGGGACAAGATGCCTACATCTTTTGAGGGCCATTATTCTGTAATACATATTCCAAGGTATATGAAGAAAATATATGTGAGAATAAAATGTGTCTATATGAAAGTGCAAAGATTTATTAACTATCTCTCAATTTTTTTTTCTTTTATTCTTTATAACATTCACTACAAACTTATTTTTTAACTTTTATTTTAGATTCAGGGGTGCATGTGAATGTTTGTTTTACATGTGAATTGCATGTCATGGGGGTTTGGTGTACAAATTATATTGTCACCCAGGTATTAAACATAGTACCCAATAAGTAGTTTTCTGATCCTCATCTGACTTCCACTCTCCATTCTCAAGTATGCCCCAGTGTTTGTTTTTGCTTTATGTTCATATGTACTCAATGCTTAGCTCCCACTTATAAGCAATTACATGTGGTATTTGGTTTTCTGTTCCTTTGTTAGTTCCCTTGAGATAATGGTCTCTAGTTTCATCCATGTTGCTGCAAGGAAGGTGATCGTATTATTTTTTATGGCTGTGTAATATTTCATGGTAAAATACGTAACACTTTTTATCCTCTTTACTTTTTATGGACATTTAGGTTGATTTCATATCTTTAATATTGTGAATATAGATGTGAAGAACATAAATGTGCATGTGTTTTTATGGTAAACAATTTATATTACTTTGAGTATATACACTATGATGGAATTGCTGGGTCGAATCACAATTCTGCTTCAAGTTCTTCGACAAATTTTCAAACTGTTTTCTACAATGGTTGAACATACAATGGTTACATTGCCACCAGCAGTGTATAGCCTTCTCTTTTCTCTGCAATCTGCTAGCATCTGTTATTTTTTCACTTTTTAAAAATAACCATTCTGACTAATGTGTGATGGTATTTCATGGTGGTTTTGATTTACATTTCTCTAATGATTAGTGATGTTAAGCATTTTCTCATATGCTTGTTGGTTGTGTGTATGCTTTCTTTTGAAAAGTGTCTGCTCCTGTCTTTTACCCACTTTTTAATGTTTTTTTTCTTGTTGATTTAAGTTTCTTATAGATTCTGCATATTAGACCTTTGTTGGATGCAGAGTTTCCAAAAATTTTCTTCCATTCTTTAGGTTGTCTGTTTACTCTGTTGATAGTTTCTTTTGCTGCATAGAGCTGTTTAGATTAATTAGGTTCTATTTGTCAATTTTTGTTTCTGTTGCAATGGCTTTTGGCAACTTTGTCATGAAATCTTTGTCAGATCCTATGTCCGGAAAGGTATTTCCTGGGTTATCTTCCAGGATTTTTATGGTTTTTGGTTTTACATTTAAGACTTTAATCCATCTAAAGTTGATTTTTGTGTATGGTGTGAGAAAGGGGTCCAGTTTCAGTCTTCTGAATATAGCTAGCCAGTTATCTCGGCACCATTTCTTGAGCAGGGAGTCCTATCCTCACTGTTTGTTTTTGTTGACTTTTTCAGAGATCAGATGGTTGTAGGTGTGCAGCTGTATTTCTGGGCTGTCTATTCTGTTCCATTGGTGTATGTGTGTGTTTTTGTACCAGTACCATGCTGCTTTGGTTACTGTAGCATTACAGTATAATGCTATCAAGTAATGTGGTGCCTCCAGGTTTGTTTGTTTTACTTAGGATTGCCTTGTCTATTTGGGCCCTTTTTGGTTCCATATGAATTTAAAAAATGTTTTTTCTAATTCTGTGGAGAATGTCATTGGTAGTTTGATAGGAATAGCATTGAATCTGTAAATTGCTTTGGGCAATATGGCCATTTTAATAATAATAATATTTCCTATCCATAGGCATGGAATGGTTTTCCATTTGTTTGCATTATCTCTGATTTATTTGAGCAATTCACTGCAATCTTTATCTCCCACAGTTAATCATATCTGCTCTTTTCAGTGTCACTAATAACTTCCAAGTATGTCAGTCCAACAGCATATTTTTGTATTCATCTAACGTCAAATCAGTAGCATTTGACCTATATGATTTTTTTCCTTCAGAAATACTTCCCATCCTTGCTTCCAGGACACCACACACTCTTAATTCTTCTGTTTTACAGGTTGGTCCTTATTAATGCCCTTTGTTAGTTTCTCTTGATTTCCCAATCTGTTACTTTTGTAGCATTGCAAGGCTCAGTATTCAATGTTTGCTTTCTCTTTTTATACTCATTTCCTTGATGATCATCCACTACCAGAGTTTGAATACCATCTACATTCAGATCACAATAAAATGCACATCTGTACCTTAGTCTATAGTCCTAAATTCCCAACTATCTACTCAACCTACCCATTTGAATATTCATTATGAACTTCACATGTTCAAATGTAGCAACTGAAACTATAGAAACTTCACCATAGAGTGGGAAACTCTAAAAAATGAACCAGTTCTTCAAGGATGAAGGAAACAAATATCAAAATGTTCAGCTTTGAGTAAGTGGTTTTCCAGATGAAGAGAGGAAGAAAAAATACTTGAAAATTGGTGGCTGGCATGAAACATTTTCAAATATGATGGAAAGTTCAAGAAAATCTAAAAGAAGGAGTAGGTAGGAGTGCAGACATATTACATTGGGAGGGAGTAAGTGGAGGGATGAGAATTACTGTTAATTTCTTATCAGAAACAATGTGAGCCAGAAATTGGAATAAAATTTAAAGTGCTGAGGGAAAAGAAGGAGTTGTCTGTCAATTACAAGAAGAAAGAGGCCAGGTGTGGTGGCTCGTGCCTGTAATCCCAGCAATTTGTGAGGCCAAGGCAGGAGGAGGCTTGAGCCCAAGAGTATGAGACTGGCCTGGCAACATATTGAGACTCTGTCTCTGTAAAAAATTAAACAAAAATTAGCCAGATATGATGGCTCATACCTGTATCCCCAGCAACTTGGGAAGCTGAGATGAAAGGACTGCTTGAGCCTGGGAGGTTGAGGCTGCAGTTAGCCAAGATCACACCATTGCATTCCAGCCTGGGTGACAGACTGACAGACAAAAAAAAGGAGACAGTTTTACAGGCGTGAGCCAGCGCACCCAGCCACACACTACAAGGAAGATTAAATTGAATTGTTCAAACTGGGAAAAATAGTTCTAGACTAAAATTGGAGCGACAAAAGAAAAGGCAAACAGCAAAATGTTGAATAAACTGTATTCAGCATCCTATCATGCACTAATGACAGAGCTAGTGGAGACCTCACACTCTGACTTTTTTCTAATAATTACTGCCTAGTGGCTTCACTATATTGCACTAATAATGTATATTTCCTGGCAAGTGAAAGTGTACAGCATGTGAAAAAAAAATATTATTAATTAAATCAAGTATTAATCACATGATTGAATAATGTGGTTATTAATGAATAATTATCAATTCAGGAAGCTTAATATTGATTTACTTAATTTTTATTTGTTTCAGACTTAGAATAAAATCCGACCATAATCTTATACCATTTTCAAAACTAAAATAATTGACTTTGCATACTCTGTTTTTTCCAAAGATTTTTCAATAGGTTTTATAATGTATTTTCTATTCCAGAATTTTCTGATTAAATAAGTTGTGCTTATGATCATGTGCATCCCTGGTATTTTGTAAGATAGATACAAGTAGTATCTTAAATGAAAGAGAAAAATCTCTATTTTTTTCTGATAGCTTTTGTTGCCACTTACAACCAGACATTCCTGACAAGCGACGGAATTAAGAGAAATGTAATTACCAAATAATATTACATCGATGTATTCACTTATATGTTTATATATTCATTGACTCAGCAAACATGTAAAATGTCGTTGCAACAATTCCCCTGTTAAATTATGAGTAAAGTATATGAGATTTGTTTTCATTTCATTTGGAAATATGTCATGTACTATAAAGTAAATGATAAATGTATAGGTATTGTTATTATTAAGGATTAACTAAACAGATCATTTCAATTCATCTCGTGTATTACAGTTGGGTGGTATTGCCTTAAGAGAGTTCAAAGTCACTTCACAAGTAGTAAAATGAAAATATTATTAACCTATGGAATTCTATGTTGACAGTTATATGTCTAAGCACATTAAATAGTTTACTCATTCTTTTCTGGCTTCTAATGTGGTTGACAAATACAGACTGCTGCTGTCAGCATTCTTATTGTTTATTTATAGGTATTCTGTCTATCATTTGATCTTAAAATTGTTCCTTTAGCTTTAATATTCTGCAATTACTAAAACCCGTCTAGTTTTACTTGACTCAGTGAAATTCCCAAACATAACATTGTATTATTTGTTTAATTGTGAAAATTCTTTTTTTTTTAATTATACTTTAAGTTTTAGGGTACATGTGCACATTGTGCAGGTTAGTTACATATGTATACATGTGCCATGCTGGTGCGCTGCACCCACTAACGCGTCATCTAGCATTAGGTATATCTCCCAATGCTATCCCTCCCCCCTCCCCCCACCCCACCACAGTCCCCAGAGTGTGATATTCCCCTTCCTGTGTCCATGTGATCTCATTGTTCAATTCCCAACTATGAGTGAGAATATGCGGTGTTTGGTTTTTTGTTCTTGCGATAGTTTACTGAGAATCATGGTTTCCAATTTCATCCATGTCCCTACAAAGGACATGAACTCATCATTTTTTATGGCTGCATAGAATTATCTTTAAATATTGCTCTGTTTCTATTATTTTTGTTATTACTTTATCCTAACAATATCTGTCAGATGTCACAAAGATTTATTAAGACCAAATATTACATTAAACTTATGTGTGGATTTGTACTCGCACCTGTGAAAGTCACCTGCCTGAGTCATGGGCAGAGACATGATGTCTCTTTTCTGCTTGAGCCAGACAAAACGGGTTTTATTCTTCCTCCCTCCCTCTCCTACTTCCTTCCTTTCTACCTTCTTTCCTTCTTTCATTAAGCTATTCTGTAGTCTCCATTATAAAAAACTATCTTACTCATAGATTTTTCCTTTTGTACTCTCAAGAACATATTTCCTTCATGTTCCTAGTTCAGTGTTAAAATCTCAGCTTTTAATTTGAAAACTTACCTTTGTGTTTAATTATCACCCACCCCAGTGCTAATGTAGCATCAGTTTTAGTGCTTATTTCCTTTTGTCAACTAACAGTTTCTCTTTCCTTCTTTAATCTCATTATATATTTTAATATGCTAAATTATATTTTATCCAACATTTCCTATGTATTTAAAATAGCACAAAAAGAACCATCCATGTTTATTCTGACATGTTGGTAAAATAGTATGTTTAGTCTGACATGTTGGTAAAATAGGAAATCGACATATTGTTACATCCTATGCTGATATTAAGATCTATTTTTATCTTCATAAGTTATAGGATGAAACTGGCATACATCGATGGACTTTCAGGGATTTTAAGACCACTGACTAGGAATATTTGAAAGAATAAAACTCATTTCATGTCAGTTAATTACTGTATATATTTATCTCTGCCACTCAGGGATCACAAATTCTGTTAGACTGTAAGAACTACAATCCTTGATATAGTACAATGTATATGAGCAGTTTAAAGTCTGATTATCATATATTTCTTTATATATAACAATATATATTTAAGATGCTTTCTTGAGTCTATTTTAATACTTCGATATTTAATATTTATTGTATTCTGTAATCTTTCTGATTACATCACTAACAACTCTAACAAATTATATTCATATTATGTGTTAATTCAGCAGATTTATTTCTTCTATAGGCCTTTCTGTTTGTTTAAAAAGACTATATTTTCTGCTACTTTTGATTTTACTTTTAAATATGAAAAACTACAAGTTAACTAGATGTTTATACCAGGCATAGAAGAGGGCAAAACAATTCTGCATAACTGTTTAAAATATAAAATATAGCTAATTGCAATAATTACTATCAGAAATTATTTGTATGCTCTTCTAATTAAAATAAATACTTCTAAAACTTCTCAACTTTTGTCTATAAGATGTCATGTCAGTATTGTTTTTCTTCATTGTTTTAGCAAATATAATAACATCTAATGTATCTATGATTGCCAAATTATTGAATGACATTTTTTAATGGTACTTACTTGATTAAAATAAATTACATTCAATGTGTTTCCAAATTTTAAAATAATCTATACATATCAAACTTTTTGAAATGCATAGAATTATGTTAAGAAAATTTTCTATTATAATTAAATAATATGCATAAATCATATATTTAAATCATACAATTGATTATATAATTCTATAAAAAAAGCCTTGGCCTTTTTAAAGAAACTTAATTATTATTATTTTTTGCTACATCAGCTGTTGTGCTTTAATTTTTCTATCCTAAATTTCTAGAATATTATTATACACTATGTAATAATTATATATGATTATGATTGAAGTTCAAATGATTTAAACTTTTAAGATTCAATATAAGGCATTAACTTTTTTGTTGTTTTTATCATAATGCTATACTGAACTGAACTGAAACGTTGTTTTACTGTAGGGTGGCATATTTAGACTAATTCATGACATCTTAGCAAAACTAAGAAACATTGTTATATAGACCTTCAATATACTAGATAACAGTACAATATGTTCACTTTATTTTTTATTTTCTGAATAACAAAAATTGAATTAATGCCATCATGTCAGGTTTTGATAGTTTTTGACAGTAAATAAGACAGTAAAATATAACTATGAAATATATTCTGAAGCATTTGGTTGTGTACTTTAACCTTTTTAGTATTCTGTATTTCAACAGATGGTCATTCTAGCTCTTCTCAACAGGGGTTTGAGTTTTTAAATAGGAGAGAAATGTCCATCCAATCAAATTCAGCGTTCCGAAAAGGTCAATTAGTATAGTACATGGCAGCTATTCTCAGAATGTATTCAACATTAGCAATCTGACAGGTTATTGTTTTGACACAATGTAAGACAACTTTCCACATGAGAAAGCTTTTAACAAGGAAGAAAAATGCAAGTCATTTGACAATTTTCATTACAACCTTTGCTAACACACAAATCATGGAGAACTCAAATACTGTAATATTATTTACCTTTAAAAATATGTTCTAAAAATTGAAATATTCACTCAATTTTATACTTACCAGTCATTTTATATCTCTTGACCTATTTTTAAATTTGTTATTTGAATCTTGAAAATGATATGTGTATTGCACATTCAATATCACTTTTGTAAAAAGAATTAGTTTTAAATGTTATTCAAATTTTTTAAGGCAGCATTACTCTTTATAGAAAAAAGTTCACAATAGAAAATTTTGACAAAATAAACCATATAGAAAGATTTAAATTTGTTTATCTTTAAAATACAATTCTAAAATAGGCTTTAAGTTTTCTTATTATTTATGTTATATTTTTACATTTAATATTTATCATTTTACTATTCTGTAACTTTCCTTTAAATATTATATTTATAATTGCTTGTATTTTTGACTAATTCAAAATTGTGATATTTTATGGGCCTATGTTTGCCGTTCATATAACAATATACTGTTAAGATCTTTCTTTCCTCATAATGACAGTATATTTTCATCATCATCTCTACAGTGTTAATTAGCAACAGCAGCAAAAAAATAGAATTCTTCACATGCATTAATAAAATACACAGTAAGATATGCCTCATAAAAAGTGAAATGTATAAAATATAACAACTTAGAAACATTTCTTGTTTCCTGTACTTCACTGCATATATCCCAAAAAAGACATAATAATAGCACTTAAAAGTTTGGGTTGGATTGCATTTGTCTAATAAATATAAAATAAATAAAATACTGTCAGGGTTACTGTTTGCATTTTATGTAGGCCACAGAAAATTACAGAGGCTCATAGTCATTTTCAAGTTATGTATTCCTTCTTTATTTATGTTACTATTGCTCCATGTTTCACTATATAATGTCTTGAAAGAGAAGGAAATAATTTTCTAAAACAATAAAAAGTCTATATTTTTAATATAAAGCAGGAATAGGAACTATGCACATGGACATCAGGACAGCAAGCCAATGGCTACTTTTTGGGAAAGAAGTAATTGATAAGAAGTGGGCCTGGGCCAGGTGCGGTGGCTCACGCCTGTAATCCCAGCACTTTGGGAGGCCAAGGCAGGCGGATCATCTGAGGTCAAGAGTTCAAGACCAGCCTGGCCAAAGTGACAAAACCCTGTTTCTACTAGAAATACAAACATTAGCCAAGCCTGTAATCCCGGCTAGTGTGGAGGCTGAAACAGGAGAATCACTTGAACCCACGAGGTGGAGGTTGCTGTGAGCCGAGATCACGCCACTGCACTCCAGCCTGGGCAACACAGCGAGACTCCATCTAAATAAATAAATAAATAAGAGAAATGTGCCTGAAATTTAGCATGTTCAGTAACACTTTATATTCTAAAAAACATTCTCAGTAAGTATAGTATCTTATTATATATGTTCTCATTTCTCGAATATTTTCTGGAACTTTTTTATTGCTTAAAGTATTTTTTAGTTAAAAAATTAAAAAGCAAAAGGAACACAGATTTTATTTGCATGTGTAAGGTATATTTAAAAAATAATTATAGTACAGGATTCCAGTATGTATGTATGCAATTAGTGATGACAGAGACGAAAGAGTGAGGATTCTATCTTGTGGGCTTGGTGTCAGGGAAGACTTCAGAGTGGTTGAATGAAATTTGAGGGAGAGTTGACATTCTCAGAAAGAGCATTCTAACCGTACAGGAAAGTTGTGAAAAAGCTAAACGTTTTTGGTCACACAATCTCCTACTTCTTTGGAAGAGATAAGTAGGGAGGTTAGACTGATGAATGAATAGATGTGGGCCACCTATGTTCAATACTTCAGAATTGCACGTTCAACACTTCAGAAATTTAAACAAACAAACAAAAAAAACCCTTAATGAATTTAAATTATAGTCTCTTGAGATCAGATTTGTTTATGTTAGAAAACACATTTGGAAGCAGTGTGAAAGAGGGAATATGCAGGGAAGAACTAAGGCAAACAGATGAATTGGTGAGAGAAGTAGGAAAAGAAGAGGCCACAAAATAATTTAAAGAGTAGCTGAGTATAAAAAAGAACAGGATCATGTCTTTTGAGGAAACATGAGTGGAGCTGGAGGTTATTATCCTTAACGAACTAACAGAGGAACAGAAAACTAAATACCACATGTTCTCACTTGTAAGTAGGAGCTAAATGATAAGAACTTAGGAATACAAAGAAGGAAACAACAGACATGGGAGTCCACTTGAGCCAGGAGGGTGGAAAGAGGGAGAGGAACAGGAAAGATAACTGTTGGATACTGGGCTTAATACCTGGGTGATGAAATAATTTGTTTAAGAAACCCTTGTGACACGTGTTTACCTGTGTAACAAACCTACACATGTACCCCTGACCTAAAATAAAAGTTAAAAAAAAAAAGAGTGGCTGGAAAGGAGTTACCAGC
Organism: Homo sapiens; assembly: GCF_000001405.40. NCBI lineage: Eukaryota > Metazoa > Chordata > Mammalia > Primates > Hominidae > Homo > Homo sapiens. Next base: position 25,643,888 of record NC_000005.10, read on the forward strand.
TAAATCCTGATTTTTGCAGGTACGTATTCAGTTAGGGAAGCTGTTTTAATTTTAAAAAGGCAAAATTATCCATATTAAGTTAAGATAAACTGAATACATACTGAAAATTAGAAACTAAATCACACAAATTAATAATTTTTAAAAGCTGAAAAATACAAAAAATATTGCAAACCCCCAGAACATAAACATATTTTCATTAACTTTCTGATCCTTTTCCTTCATTTGTATCTTTTTTTCTTGACTCTATATGAAAAGTTTAGTGATTTAATTATTTTATGTTCTATTCTGAGAACAGATAATTAACTCAGTCTTTTCTACATCATAATTGATTCAAATTGTTTTTATTAAAATTAAATTTTTATTGATGTCATTGGTAATTTTATGAAAAATTGTCCACTTGTCAAATTTGAGAAAATCGTATCAGAGTTTTTCTTATGTTTGCTTTAATATATTAGGTGGTTACAGCTTTTCTTGATCCTAATTAATTTTAAATATTTTGTAAGTAGATAACCAAAGGGCTAGTGTCTTTTTAGAAACTGGGGAGGACTTGCAAGTGAAGGACCATACATTTAGGCTTTATTAGCTTCATGGCAAATCTCATTTCTCTAGTAGGATACACATTTTAGAAACATCTAAAAGTCTAAGATGATTTCCACACTTCTAGAATGAACAACTGTGAAAATAAACATCAACACAGGGTGTTCCTAATGTTGTTACAACATGAAAGAGCTAAGATATTCTATATTTAATTTCTTTTACTCTAATTTTTCTATGATTTTAAGGATCATTATTTAAAAAATAATCTATACCACAATTGGAAGTTGTTTCCCCATATTTTCCAAGTTTGAATTAAATGATTCCCACTCCCATCTTATGATGTCTTCCTGAACAATTCTATTTTCTGCTTCTATAGCAAAGAAATGAAATGTGGTTAAAAATACATCAAGTTTATTTTGTTCATTTGTTTGTTTTTATATTTTACAATACATGGCACCCTAGTAGAAGATAAACTGTACAGATTAACTTGTGGGCCGTGCGCGGTGGCTCACACCTGTAATCCCAGCACTTTGGGAGGCCAAGGCGGGTGGATCACGAGGTCAGGAGATCGAGACCATCCTGGCTAACACGGTGAAACCCTGTCTCTGCTAAAAATACAAAAAATTAGCTGGGCGTGGTGGCAGGCACCTGCAGTCCCAGCTACTCAGGAGGCTGAGGCAGGAGAACAGCATGAACCCTGGAGGCGGAGCTTGCAGTGAGCCGAGATCGCGCCCCCGCACTCCAGCCTGGGTGGCGGAGCGAGAAAACAAACAACAAAAAAAACTTGTGTGTGTGTGTTTGTATGTGCATTTTCTGTTGTTACATCCTTTAGACAATAGTAGTCAGTGTATTTTGACCTTGGCGTTTTATCAGTAAGATTTTTCTGAATGTTTTGGTCACATTTTCACATTTTTAACTTCTGTGATATATATATCTGTGATACATATATATCTCTGTGAGAGATATATATAAACAAACAAAAAACCCTTCATGAATTTAAATTATAGTCTCTTGACTACATGCATATATATGGACACACATATATATGCACTCACACATACATATATACACACATATGCATACATATGTAGACACGCACATATGTATGCACTGATATGTATAAATATATGCACATATGCCTATACATTTTAAGCAGTTTTATTCATATACTGGTATACTAGAAAGTATACCCATTTGACAAGTACAATTCAATGGTTTTAGTATATTTACAGCTGTGCAACCATCACCTTGTTTGTTTCTATAAAACTAAAATTGTGCAGTCATTACTATTTACATGTTGAGGGACTTGATATTTTGTCAGATCTCTGTTGTAAGTTTTGACACCACAGACATTTCCTTGATTTTTTTTTCTGTGATACTTTTGTTTGTTTTTATCTCTGTGAATATATTTAGATTTAGATACTTGTAAGTTGAAAAATTGCCATCTTATTTACATTTATTTTGGGAGATTTGTTCTTTGAAGTCTCAATTCCATATTCAATATCAAAAGAATATAACGATTACTTTCATGTCATACTTTTCTATCCAAAAATGTTAAATAGTCTGAGTTATTATTAGAAAACACTGCTGGCAAATGGCAAAGACATTTTCTTTTCCATGTTGCAGAGTTCTTCTGTGTAATTGAAACCATGTACAGGGCTTACCATGTCAGAGTAAAACAATAAAGTAGTTGGAGGTTACTTCAGAATCTCACCCATTAATCTGTCACTTATAATACGATGCTATGAGAAATATGGTGCCTTAATTATTACAATAAAGTGTAGCTTATGATGATGTGAATAGATGGTTGAGGTGAACTGAAAGCATTAACATTTAAAGGGAAAGATATTAAAGAACTTAGGAGCAGAATTTTGGAGTCCCTGTCTCTGTGGATACTAAACTCACCAAGAATTATGATGAGAATTGAGTTGCACAAAGCTATAACAAACCAGCAATTAAAATTTTCAAGAATTGTTGGGGGCAGAGTCTATAGTCTATTGATGAGAGTAATGAGAAAGTACTACTACAAAACATGCCTACCCTCTTTCTAACATGCCTGGTTTTCTGTTCAATCTCCCATATATTCTTTGGTTCTTGTCAGAAACATTATTGATTAGTATGACACATCTCCTTTATTGATTGCATTTTGCATGTGACTTTGTGTTGTAATCATAAAACACAAAAGTCAGTGTAAATAGATTAAACATTAGCAGATACTCTCTATGAAAGTGTACAAATCCTTATGACTTAACATTAATTTACCTTATTTTTCAAATTTAATTTATTGCCTAACCAAAAAGAAATATCAATTACAACAATGTCAACAAATCATGGTTAGTTGCAAATATGAAGTCTGAACAATAAATGGATGGGTGTAATAATTAAGGCACCACATAAGAATGGGCCTTTGGCCTGGATTACTTCCTTACCAAGAGATAAAAAAAATCTCCACAGCCTGTGTGGGATTTACCACATTTTATGAGAATATCTATCCCTGCTTCTGATTCAATGTGTACTCTTTATTCTGCTTAAGTGTATGCATGGTGTGTCACCTGGCCAACCCCACTACCAAATTTGTCTTTTGCAGATAAGGAAGAGTCAGTGTCTTTCTACTGCAGCACACAAGGAATGCACCAAGGCCAACTCACTTGCCCTGTGTGAGCTGCCAGGAGGGACCAGCTGGCCGAGGGAACTTATCCCCACTACTAAAACTAATCTTGTTCTGTCTCTTCTCTATGTAAGTAAACCATTGTGCAATGGAGTGCATGACTGACTGTATCGTGTTTTATTTGGTGCCTCTAATACCCGATGCAGTGGGTAGAATTGATCTGACTTCTACTCCTGATAATAGGCAACAGGTGACATTTGCTCAACACTTACTCCTAACAAACAACTTCAGTACTCCAATATCTCATAAAAAAAATAATCTTCTTCATCTCTCTAATATCTAAAAGCTTGAGTGATACAGAAGAGCTCACTCTCTCCTTGGTGATCTCATGCAATCTCATGGCTTTAAATGCCATCTCTATGCAAACAAATCTGGGATGCTAACACTATCCTTGGAATTAGAGTTTAACTTCAAGAAACGTACCCTGAACTCCAGACCACTTACACTACTACTCCATTTAAATGTCGAAAAGACACCACACATCTACATATCAATACCAAAACTTTTGATCTTTATTCTACCTCCAAGCTTTCTCCTTTTCAGTCTACTTCATTTTAGTAAGCAGATTCCCCTCTGTGGTTCTCCATTGTTTATGGGAAAAACATAGATTCACTGCTGCTACTGTTCTGTTTCATACTGACTTGTAATCCCTTAGTATACTCCATGGCCCCTGTTTTCCAGAATCTCACCATTCCTAGCCACCTTTATTGCTCCCACCTTGCTTCAAGCTAAAACTTATCACCTAATTATTGCAACAGCATACTAAATATTCTTCTTGCTCATAAGTTACCCCTTTTTCAACAGTTATCAACCCAGAGTCAAATATTTACAAAAGTATTCAGATCAATGAACATTATGCTTTGTGGGTGGCTTCTAATATAACAGGAAGTTAAAAAAAATTCTTACATTGAACCATGATGCTCTCGGTATTCTTACACCTGCTAATGTTCCATCAGTTTCTTTAAGCATTTTCCTATTTCTCATGACACTGTTCAGACATTGACCCCCTTGCAACTCCTTAGAAATGCAAAAACAATCAAACAAACCAAAACTAAAACTCTTGACTCAGTAACCTGTTCATTCAGTTCCTTTGGCCTAGACTATCCTGTACTTCTTTCTGTTCTTGCATCTAAGTATGAGCTTATGAATTCAGCTTGTCTGACTATGAAAATTATTAGGCCCTTTCAACTCAATAACAGCTCTATCTTTGTCCTTTTTATATTCACAAGCATTGTACACAAAATATATATTATTTTATAAGTTCATCATTGATCTTTTCTCCTAGAATGAAAGTCTCATGAAGGAAGAACCTTTCCGTACCCCTTAGTGTACTGTAGTTGCTCAATAATTTGATACAAGTGTACACGTTTACTATTATCTCTTGACATAAGGCATTTGAATTCTAGTCTATAAACAGTTATTCCATAAATAAGGTCAATTCACAAATTTTATTTCCTACTGTACACTAGACATCATTTAAAGTACCAGGAATATTAATATAATGTTGAACAAATTTCTGATAGTCATTTATCTCATATTCTAAAATTTTTTAAGAAGATAACAAACAAAACACAAATGAATGAATAATAACATTTCTAATGCTTGTAAGACAAACCAAATACATAACAAATGAATGAGTGATAATGCAATATGACAGGCTTTTCAATGAGACTTCTATAAGGATATGAAATTGAGCTAAGAACTGCATGACCAGAAAGTGTAAGTGCTTTCCAGGGGAAGACAACAAAGTATAAATACCCTGATGTAGAAAGCAGCCAAATTCTAATGTAGACCAGACCCCCATATTTACAATCCCCAACAAATATTGTTTTCATATTTTACATCAGAGCATCAAATACAATTCTTGCAACAAAACTGGAAAGAAAGATGTATAGAAGATATTCAATATTATACTGGTATCAGGAAGAAAATGCTGTGATAAGACTATGAGCTTGACATATAATAGGGATTACATGTGCTTTTGGTGACATGAATGCTATTCTAGATTTTACTCTTTCTTTTGTATGGAGCAATGCAGAAATATGTGAGCGTATAGGTGATCCTTCAAGATCACTAAGAGCTCTGGTGCCTTCTCTATTATTAATTACCCTGTCATCAACTACAATTTGTCCTCATCTATGTGATCAGAGTATGAAGAGAAGTGGAGGGAAAGCTGTATCATTTTAAATGTATAACACCGAAGTTGCAAATATTCATTTTCTTCACATCACTGGTCAGAATTTAGTCATATGGCCAAATTTGCTGCACATGAGGTTATGATATGGAAACTGTTTTTAGTGTTCATACACAAAGCTAAAATTTGGAGATTTTTTTCACTAATGATTAAAGGTAGAATATAGACTGTAAAACAATTAGAGGTTTCTGACCAACCTTGAACCACTGCCACTGTCATGATACTGACATTTCCAGCACTCCAAATAAGATCCCACATACCTTATTGCAATCAATCCCCTTTACTCACCTTCTTGACCTTGTATCACTGTGGCTTTCAATTTTTCAGAATTTCAAAAACATGGAATCAAACAGCATTTGCTGTTTTGTGACTAATCCTTCTCACTGAGAATATATCTGAGTTTCATCATTGTTTGTCTATTTACAAGAGCTCTTTTTTTTATTTTTTATTTTTTAGACGGAGTCTCGCGCCGTCGCACAGGCTGGAGTTGGAAGTGCAGTGGCTCAATGTCAGCTCGCTCCAAGCTCCGCCTCCTGGGTTCACGCCATTCTCCCGCGTCAGCCTCCCGAGTAGCTGGGACTACAGGCGCCGGCCACCACGTCCAAGAGCTCATTCTTTTTGATTGCTGAGTACTTACTATTCCATGTATTTACCTCAATATGCGTATCCACTAGTTGGTGTACATTAGGGATGTCTCTAGGTTTTGCTTCCATTAGTCAAGTTGCTAAAACACAAGTCTTGGTATAGACATATTTTTTCACTCCGTTTGGGTAAACATGTAGGAATGTGGTTGGTGAGTCATAGGGTAGATATGCATTTGCCTTTATAGGAAACCCCCAAACAATTTTCCAAAGTGGCCATACCATTGTGCATTTTCAACAACAACATATGAGTTTCACTTTTTATGCATTTTTTTAAAATTATACTTTAAGTTTCCTGTACATGTGCACAAAGTGCAGGTTTGTTACATATGTATACATGTGCCATGTTGGTTTGCTGCACCCTTAACTCGCCATTTACATTAGGTATTTCTTCTAATGCTCTCCCTCCCCCATCCCCCCACCGCACAACAGGCCCTGGTGTGTGATGTTCCCCGCCCTGTGTCCAGGTGTTCTCACTGTTCAGTTCTTACCTATGAGTGGGAACACGTGGTGTTTGGTTTTCTGTCTTTGCGATAGTTTGCTCAGAATGATAGTTTCGAGCTTCATCCATGTCACTACAAAGGACATGAACTCATCCTTTTTGATGGCTGCATAGTATTCCATGGTGTATATGTGCCACATTTTCTTAATCCAGTCTATCATTGATGGATATTTGGGTGGGTTCCAAGTCTTTGCTATTATGAATGGTGCCGCAATAAACATACATGTGCGTGTGTTTTTATAGCAGCATGATTTATAATTCTTTGGGTATATACCCAGTAATGGCATGGCCAGGTCAAATGGTATTTCTAGTTCTAGATCCTTGAGGAATCGCCACACTGTCTTTCACAATGGTTGAACTAGTTTATACTCCCACCAGCAGTGTAAAAGCATTCCTATTTCTCCACATCCTCTCCAGCATCTGCTGTTTCCTGATTTTTCAATGATTGCCATTCTACCTGGTGTGAGATGGTATCTCATTGTGGTTTTGGTGTGCATTTTTCTGATGACCAGTGATGATGAGCGTTTTTTCATGTGTCTGTTGGCTGCATAAATGTCTTCTTTTGAACAGTGTCTGTTCATATCCTTTGCCCAATTTTTGATGGGGTTGTTTGATTTTTTTCTTGTAAATTTGTTTAAGTTCTTTGTAGATTCTGGATATTAGCCCTTTGTCAGATGGGTAGATTGCAAAACTTTTCTCCCATTCTGTAGGTTGCATGTTCACGCTGATGACAGCTTCTTTTGCTGTGCAGAAGCTCTTTAGTTTAATTAGATCCCATTTGTCTATTTTGGCTTTTATTGCTATTGCTTTTGGTGTTTTAGTTATGAAGTCCTTGCCCATGGTTATGTCCTGAATGGTATTGCCTAGGTTTTCTTCTAGGGTTTTTGTGGTTTTAGGTCTGACATGTAAGTCTTTAATCCATCTTGAATTAATTTTTGTATAAGGTGTAAGGAATGGATCCAGTTTCAGCTTCCTACATATGGCTAGCCAGTTTTCCCAGCAACATTTATTAAATAGGGAATCCTTTCCCCATTTCTTGTTTTTGTCAGGTTTTTCAGAGATCAGATAGTTGTAGATGTGTGTTGTTATTTCTGAGGCCTCTGTTCTGTTCCATTGGTCTATATCTCTGTTTTGGTACCAGTACCATGCTGTTTTGGTTACTGTAGACTTGTAGTATAGTTTGAAGTCAGGTAGTGTGATGCTTCCAGCTTTGTTCTTTTGGCGTAAGATTGTCTTGGCAATGCAGCCTCTTTTTGGGTTCCATATGAACTTTAAAGTAGCTTTTTCCAATTCTGTGAAGAAAGTCATTGGTAGCTTGATGGGGATGGCATTGAATCTATAAATTACCTTGGGCAGTATGGCCATTTTCACAATATTGATTCTTCCTACCCATGCGCATGGAATGTTCTTCCATTTGTTTGTGTCCTCTTTTATTTCGTTGAGCAGTAGTTTGTAGTTCTCCTTGAAGAGGGCCTTCACATCCCTTGTAAGTTGGATTCCTAGGTATTTTATTCTCTTTGTAGCACTTGTGAATGGGAGTTCACTGATGATTTGGCTCTCTGTCTGTTATTGGTGTATAAGAATGCTTGGGATTTTCGCACATTGATTTTGTATCCTAAGACTTTGCTGAAGGTGCCTATCAGCTTAAGGAGATTTTGGGCTGAGACGATGGGGTTTTCTAAATATATAATCATGTCATCTGCAAACAGGGACAATTTGACTTTCTCTTTTCCTAATTGAATACCCTTTCTTTCTTTCTCCTGCCTGATTTTCCTGGCCAGAACTTCCAACACTCTGTTGAATAGGGGTGGTGAGAGAGGGCATCCCTGTCTTGTGCCAGTTTTCAAAGGGAATGCTTCCAGTTTTTGCCCATTCAGTATGATACTGGCTGTTGGTTTGTCATAAATAGCTCTTATTATTTTGAGATACATTCTGTCAATACCTAGTTTATTGAGAGTTTTTAGCATGAAGGCTGTTGAATTTTTTTGAAGGCCTTTTCTGCGTCTATTGAGATAATCATGTGGTTTTTGTCTTTGATTCTGTTTATGTGATGGATTTTGTTTATTAATTTGCGTATGTTGACCCAGCTTTCCATCCTAGGGATGAAGCCAACTTGATCTTGGTGGATAAGCTTTTTGATGTGCTGCTGGATTCGGTTTGCCAGTATTTTATTGAGGATTTTTGCATAGATGTTCATCAGGGATATTGGTCTAAAATTCTCTTTTTTTGTTGTGTCTCTGTCAGGCTTTGGTATCAGGATGATGCTGGTCTCATAAAATGAGTTAGGGAGGATTCCCTCTTTTTCTATTTGTTGGAATAATTTCAGAAGGAATGGTACCAGTTCCTCTTTGTACCTCTGGTAGAATTTGGCTGTGAATCTGTCTGGTCCTGGACTTTTTTTGGTTGGTAGGCTATTAATTATTGCCTCAATTTCAGAGCTTGTTATTGGTCTATTCAGGGATTCAGTTTCTTCCTGGTTTACTCTTGGGAGGGTGTATGTGTCCAGGAATTTACTCATTTCATCTAGATTTTCTAGTTTATTTGCATAGAGGTATTTATGGTGTTCTCTGATGGTAGTTTGAATTTCTATGGGATCAGTGGTAATATCCCCTTCATCATTTTTTATTATATCTATTTGATTCTTCTCTCTTCTTTATTGGTCTTGCTAGTGATCTATCAATTTTGTTGATCTTTTCAAAAAACCAGCTCCTGGATTCATTGATTCTTTGAAGTGTTTTTTGTGTCTCTATCTCTTTCAGTTCTGTTCTGATCTTAGTTATTTCTTGCTGTCTGCTAGCTTTTGAATTTGTTTGCTCTTGCTTCTTTTGTTCTTTTAATTGTGATGTTAGGGTGTCAGTTTTAGATCTTTCCTGCTTTCTCTTGTGGGCATTTAGTGCTATAAATTTCCCTCTACACACTGCTTTAAATGTGTCGCAGAGATTCTGGTATGTTGTGTCTTTGTTCTCATTGGTTTCAAAGAACATCTTTATTTGTGCCTTCATTTCATTATTTACCCAGTAGTCATTCAGGAGCAGGTTGTTCAGTTTCCATGTAGTTGTGTGGTTTTGAGTGAGTTTCTTAGTCCTGATTTCAAATTTGATTGCACTGTGGTCTGAGAGACAGTTTGTTATAACTTCTTTTCTTTTATATTTGCTGAGGAGTGCTTTACTTCCAACTATGTTGTCAATTTTGGAATAAGTACGATGTGATGCTGAGAACAATATATATTTTGTTGATTTGGGGGGGAGAGTTCTGCAGATGTCTATTAGGTCCACTTGGTGCAGAGCTGAGTTGAAGGCCTGGATATCCTTGTTAACTTTCAGTCTCGTGATTTGTCTAATGTTGACAGTGGGGTATTAAAGTCTCCCATTATTATTGCGTGGGTGTCTAAGTCTCTTTGTAGGTCTCTAAGGACTTGCTTTATGAATCTGGGTGTTCCTGTATTGGATGCATATATAATTAGGATAGTCAGCACTTCTTGTTGAAATGATCCCTTTACCATTATGTAATGGCCTTCTTTGTCTCTTTTGATCTTTGTTGGTTTAAAGTCTGTTTTATTAGAAACTAGGATTGCAAACCCTTTTTTTTTTTTTGCTTTCCATTTGCTTTTTATATCTTCCTCCATCCCTTTATTTTGAGCCTATTTGTGTCTCTGCATGTGAGATGGGTCTCCTGAATACAGCACACTGATGGATCTTGACTCTTTATCCAATTTGCCAATCTGTGTCTTTTAATTGGGGCATTTAGCCCATTTACATTAAACGTTAATATTCTTATGTGTGAATTTGATCCTGTCATTATGATGTTAGCTGGTTATTTTGCCCATTAGTTGACACAGTTTCTTCCTCGCATCAATGGTCTTTACAATTTGGCATGTTTTTGCAGTGGCTGGTGCCAATTTTTCCTTTCCATGTTTAGTGCTTCCTTCAGGAGCTCTTGTAAGACAGGCCTGGTAGTGACAAAATCTCTCAGCATTTGCTTGTCTGTAAAGGATTTTATTTCTCCTTCACTTATGAAGCTTAGTTTGGCTGGATATGAAATTCTGGGTTGAAAATTCCTTTCTTTAAGAATGTTGAATATTGGCCCCCACTCTCTTCCGGCTTGTAGAGTTTCTGCCGAGAGATCTGCTGTTAGTCTGATGGGCTTCCCTTTGTGGGTAACCGACCTTTCTCTCTGGCTGCCCTTAACATTTTTTCCTTCAGCTCAACCTTAGTGAATCTGAGAATTTTATGTCTTGGGGTTGCTCTTCTCTAGGAGTATCTTTGTGGTGATATCTGTATTTCTTGAATTTGAATGTTTTCTTGCCTTGCTAGGTTGGGGAAGTTCTCCTGGATAATATCCTGCAGAGTGTTTTCCAGCTTGGTTCCATTCTCCCTATCACTTTCAGGTACACCAATCAAACGTAGATTTGGTCTTTTCACATAGTCCCATTTTTCTTGGAGGCTTTGTTCATTTCTTTTTACTCTTTTTTATCTAAACTTCTCTTCCCTCTTCATTTCATTAATTTGATCTTCAATCACTGATACCCTTTCTTCCACATGATCGAATCGGCTACTGAAGCTTGTGCATGCATCATGTAGTTCTCGTGCCATGGTTTTCAGCGCCATCAGGTCATTTAAGGTCTTCTCTACACTGTTTATTCTAGTTAGACCCTCAGCTGCAGGTCTGTTGTAGTTTGCTGGAGGTCCACTCCAGATCCTGTTTGCCTGAGTATCACCAGCGGAGGCTGCAGAACAGCAAATATTGCAGAACACCAAATATTGCTGCCTGATCCTTCCTCTGGAAGCTTCATCTCAGAGGGGCACCTGGCTGTATGAGGGGTTAGTCGGCCTCTACTGGGAGATATCTCCAAGTTAGGCTACACGGGGGACAGGGACCCACTTGAGGAGGCAGTCTTTCCGTTCTCAGAGCTCAAACACCGTTCTGGGAGAACCACTGCTCTCTTCAGAGCTGTCAGACAGGGACATTTAAATCTACAGAAGTTGTATGCTGCCTTTTGTTCAGCTATGCCCTGCCCCCAGAGGTGTAGTCTACAGAGGCCGGTGGGCCTCACTGAGCTACGGTGGGCTCCACTCAGTTCAAGCTTCCCTGGCGGCTTTGTTTACCTACTCAAGCCTCAGCAATGGCAGATGCCCCTCCCCCAGCCAGGCTTGCCACCTTGCAGTTTGATCTCGGACTAGCAGTGAGCAAGGTTCTGTGGGTGTGGGACCCGCTAAGCCAGGTGCGGGATATAATCTCCTGGTGTTCCATTTGCTAAGACTGTTGGAAAACAGCAGTGTTTAGGTGGCAGTGTCCCGATTTTCCCGGTACAGCCTGCCATGGCTTCCTTTTGCTAGGAAAGGGAAATCTCCCAACCTCTTGTGCTTCCTCGGTGAGGCGATGCCGCGCCCTGCTTCAGCTTGCTCTCTGTGGTTTGCATCCACTGTCTGACCAGTCCCAATGAGATGAACCAGGTACCTCAGTTGGAAATGCAGAAATCACCCATCTTCTGCATCGATCACACTGGGAGCTGCAGACCGGAGCTGTTCCTATTCAGCCATCTTGGAACGGACCCCCATTACAAAACTTGGCAGGTTAGTCTTTTGATAACAATCTTTCTTACTGTTCTACTTGGTTTGTAGTGGTATCTCATTGTGGTTTTAATTTGCATTTCTCTAATGTATAAGGTAGTTGAGCATTTTTTATGCACTCACTGGCCATCTTTGTATGTCTTTGGGGAAATGTTTATTCAAATAATTTGCTCCCTTATTTAATGCAGCTGTTTATCTTCTTACTGTTGAGTTTTAAGAGCTCATTTTATATTCCGTTTATAAGTCACTTGTCAAGTAATTGTTTTGCAAATATTTTCTCCCAATGTGTAATTTGTCTTTTGTTTTTACCAAATTCTTTTGGAGAACAAAACTGATTTGTTCAAAGTCCAAATTATTTTATACTTTGTGCTTTCAAGATATGCATTTATTTACTTATTATATAGTTGTATTATTGTTTGTTGTACCAACATACTATGTAATATAAAGCATATGCAAAAACATATACATTATGAAAGAATCACTAAAAATTAATAAAAATAAGAGCTTTTTTCTGAATTTTTTTCTTTTTAAATTTATTTTTAATTGACAAATAAAAATGATATGATGGCTGGGCTCAGTGGCTTATGCCCGTAATACCAGCACTTTGGGAGGCCAAGGTGGACAGATCACTTGAGGTCAGGAGTTTGTGACCAGCCTGACCAACATTGTGAAATCCTGTCTCCCCCGAAAAAAAACAAAAAGAGAAAAAAAAGAGTCAAGTGTGGTGGCATGTGCTTGTAATCCCAGCTACTTGGGAGGCTGAGGCATGAGAATTGCTTGAACCCCCCCAAGAGAAAATCACACCACTGTACTCCAGCCTGGGTGACAGAGTGAGGGTCTGTCTAAAAACATATATATAGAAAAGAAAAAGCATTTAATACACCTAACCTAGTGAACATCATAGCTTAGCATAGTCTACCTTAAACATGCTCAGAACACTTACATTAGCCTACAGTTAGACAAAGTCATCTACCACAAATCCTATTTTATAATAAAGTTGTGAATTTTTTTTTTTTTAAATACCGTATTGAAGGTAAAAAACAGAGTGGCTTCACAGCATTGCAAAGTTGAAACATCTTAAGTTGAACCATTCTATTAGGTGACTATTGCTATAAATTGTGAAATGGCTAAATTGAGCTAATTAACATATACATTATCTGACATACTTTTTTGGTGTGTGAGAACACTTAAAATGTACTCTCAGCAATTTTCTGGATTATAATATATTGTTATTCATTATGGTCACGAGGTAGTACAATAGGTCTCTTGAACTCATTCCTCCCAGCTAACTGAAATTTTGTATTTTTTGACAAACATCTCCCCACCCACCCCGACTCCTATCCCTATCCCTTGGTAACCACCATTCTGTCTACTTCTGAGTTCAACTTTTTTAGGTTTCACACATAAGCAAGATCATGTGGCATGTGTCTTTCAGTGTCTGGCTTATTTCGCTCAACCTAATATCCTGCAGGTTATCTATGTTGTTGCAAATGACAAATTTTTCTTCTTTTGTAAGGCTGAATACTATTCTCTTTTGTATGTATAGCACATTTTCTTTATCCATTCATCTATTGATGGACACTTAGGTTGATTCCATATCTTACCTATTGTGAATAGTTCTGCAATGGCCATGGGAGTGCAGATATCTCTTTTACGTATTGCTTCACTTCCATTGAATATATACCTAGTAGAGAAATTGCTGGATCATATGTTAATTCTACTTTTAATTTTTTGAAGATTTTCCATACGGTTTTCCATAATGGATGCACTAATTATCATTTCCAATAATAGCATGCAAGGATTTCCTTTCTCCACATCCTTGCCAACACTTATCTTTTAGGCTTCTTTGTTGTAGCCATTCTAACAAGTGTGAAGTGATACCTCGTTGTGGTTTGTGCTTTTTGTGTCTTATTTGAGAAACTTTGCCCAACCCAAGGCTACTAACATTTTCTCCTATGTTTTCTTCTACAAGTTTTGCATCATTAGATTTGTGATCTTTATATTGAGGTATATAATCCATTTCAATTTAATTTTTGTATGAAGTTAGTGTTAAGATTCATGTGTTTACACTTGGCTAACCAATAGTTCTAGTACATTTGTTGACAAGATTTTTCCATCCTGATTAAATTAATTTAGAACTTTTGTCCAAAATCAATTAACCACATATGTGTGGGTCTATTTCTGAACTCTCTATTGTATTCTACTGGTCTTTACTTGTTTTATTTTGCCAATACTGCACTGTGTCATACCATTCACATGTAATGTTAATAAAACAAGTAAAAACTCCAGACTTTGTAAAATTAATCAGCAAAAATTGGCTTCTATATCGTCTGATGACTACGAATTTATTCTGTGAATTAAGCAGGTCAATCACATTTGGATCCCAAGATCTGTTCTTTACCTTCTTTACCTTGCACAATGCCCACTGAATGAGAATCTTTGTGAAATCAGTTATGTATACACTAGCCTCTGGTAGAGTTGGGTTTGGGGACTTGGAGGTAACAGCAGAATATTGAAAGCAAGGTCTTTTTTTAGTTCTATCTCCTTCCTGGCCTTGTGACAGTGCTAGAACAGGCTACATTCCTCTGCCACCTCTTAGGCAATCTTTCTTTTGAGTTTCTGGAAATTGCTGTGCCAATGTAATTTCACTCTCTCCTTTTGTCTCTTGGGGCCTATAGCGGTAGAGACTTCCCATATTGCTATTTCACGAGTGCTTCAACATCCATTGTTGCTTTCCTTATTCTTTTCTCACCTCTCTCTAAGTTGTCCTTAGGAAAATGTTATTTGCTTCCTGCTAGGCCCCAGTCTAAATTTGATAACACTTGGGATCCAAGTAGTTATAGGTAGATTCTCATTAATAATTTCCAGTTTTAAGAAACTTGGCTTGGATGTGTGTATATAATAGCTCCAGAGATTAAAAACAAAAAGAAAGATGCTAAGTAACCTGCTGTTGGTCACTTGTCTTCCAGCCCTCAACCAGAAGACAGGAAATCAGTCATTCAACAGTAATGACTCCCAGAGCTGATGTTCCAAACTCCAGAAGGGTCTCAGTAGCGACAATTCCAAGAAACTAAAGTAAGGTTCTGACTCCTTTAATGGTTTCTGTGAGTGGAAATTTCTGACAAGTGATGAAACCCAGTTCTATCTTTCTAGGTCCTGAATTGGGATGCAAATAGACCAATTTCTTATAAGTCTATCCATGGGGATAGATTCAATATCAAATATTAAAATACAAAACAATCTGGATCTTCAATAATGTGGCTCTAAAGAGGCAATATGTATGCAGTCATTATGTTAAGAAATGGAGCAACAACCTTAGCCAACCCTTATTAGGAAAAGTAGCTAAATCAGCAATATGGACATTTAAAACTAAAATAATCCAAATCCCTCTCATTGCAAGTACACAAAATATTGAGTATAAAAGAGGCAAAATTCATTCTAAGGCAGAGCTGTTTGTAGAAAAGAGAAAGGAAAATCTCCAGTGAAAAATGGAACTGCGTACCAAACTGAACAGCTGCAGCCGAAAGATGCAGTGATGTTCAACTACTTTAGTAACTTTTACTTATATTTAAAATGTTTGTACCTGTATTCATAAATTATATTTTTTCTAAAGCATTATCCAGTTTTTTAAATAAAATATTTATTAGTCTTATACATAACTATTTCTTTATCTTCAGGATTTATTAAAAGTCTCATAAAATTCTCAGCATTTTGTTGGTAAATCTTGCTAATAAATTCATTTATATAACAATTATTCATCCATTTAGGACTATACTTACTTTAAATACATCTGCTATGATAATTTTTTCTAAGAATTACACAACTAATCTAGAATACTAAAATATTTACCCTGCAAATAATAGTTATTTCTATGTTATTTCACTTCTTTTTCTTGATCAATCTAACCAGTGGTTTATGTTTTTATGTAATTGTTTAGAAGTTTCAATATTTTGGACATTTTTGATAAGCTCATTCTTCTTAAGTTCTTATTGCACTTGTTTTAGCTCTCATATAAATTAACCTTACTTTACTTTGGTTTCTCCTATTGTTATTTCTCAACACATGGACTTAACTATTTTTTCAATTTTTCTTTTTATCTAATTTATGCACGTAAGGCTTGTGGCACAGATTAGTAGCTGTTAACAAAATTTGTTTTGCTCTGATTATGATCACAGAGAGAAACTGCTTTTCTGAGTCAGGCATAGTTATATGACCAAATTTCAGCTGATGGAATATGTATGGAGATATTTGTCATCATAGGCTCTAGTTCAGAAACTTTAAGAAGTTCTACAATGTTGCCATATACCAAAGATGCAGTACAAAGTACAGTAGGACTTATTTATGATATTAGACAATATAATGAAATTATTTCTAGATAAATGCAGAAATGTTTAAGAAACACCATGATTTTGTAAGCCAAGAAATAGGTATGGCTGTTTTGATCAGATCCAGTAAATGATATTTTGAAATTTGCTGGCATTGTTCTGATTCTTGAGGTAGAGATAAAGTTATATTTGAAAGAAAATTGGATTTCTATTTTTTTCATTCAAGTGAATAAACAACTGAGAGGAAAATCTTTTTCACAGTTCCAAATTGCCTCTAACGAATATATTTCACATAACAATGAACTGTTTCTATGAATAACCTGCTCATAGGAAAATTTAAATTGAAAAGTGTAACTTGGATTTTACCTCTGTTTATATTACTATTTTTCTGCCCCACGTATCTTCATTGGTAGAATGCATAAGCCTGACTGTTAATGTGTTCTTAGTATTCTTACAGGTGTGAAATAATCCACCGATAAGTCCCTTCAATTAATGAGTGCTTTAATATATCTCTCTCGCACTTTCTACTATTTAATTTTAATTCTTCTTAAAATGAAATGCTAATTGTATGCAGTTCTGTTGGTTGAGATGCACAGTATAGATACTACATATACATTATTCTTCATTCTTAACTTTAGGAACAAACATTCTCAATTACCAAATCTTTGTAATTATAAAATAATTAGAACTAGGCCACAAGGTTCAAATTCATAGTTAGTTTAAGATTATTTGTAAAACAAATGATTGGAAATAAAACATTGTTAGCAAAATGTAGTATTTAAAATGAAAATTTTTAACTCTTCCTTCTGATTTTACAAATTTTGGTTGTATTCTTTTACCTTTTTTACTTTGTTCACTAATAGTGTATATGTTTAACAAATGTTCAGATGTTTGTGCTTCATCTGTGAGCTCATATCTAATGGCTTTTTATCTAAAGGTAATAAAATACTCCATATCCTATTTTATGTCTTCATAATAATAATGTAGCAATGAGCATTTTAAGCTGTAAATCAAATATTACAAATGAATATCTATTGAGAACATTTGCTATTTTATTTCCATTTTTCTTAGCAATCACATTACAAAAAATTTTTAAAATTACATTCACTGGTGTAGATATTATTAAATATATGGATGTAAGATTTATAATATTAATAAATTGTTTTAAAAAGTGATATGTGGTGCACTTATTTTCTATGGATACCAGTCAACACAATAATATCAGGGCAAAAGAAAAATGTTACTGGCAGATATAATTTCAATTATCAATAATATTTTCCTTTTGTTTGCAAAGATTATACTCTCTTTTAAGTGTATAAGTCACAATAATAGCATTGTGACTATTTTCATTCAAAGTATTTTGGCTTACTTAAAATTACCATTTTAATACCATAGTTATTTTATTTTCTTTCAATCATTTGTGGAGATAGCAAAGAAAACAAAATCAAAACAATTTTCCAAGTTCTGATTAGAGAAACTATGTTTGAAATTATTTTATTGAGGGTAGAGTAGATTATTTAACAAAGCACAGGACATATAAATGACAATTTTGAATAAATTAAAGTATGCATCACTGTGCAACCAGGTTGTAAATACCATATAAATGAATGTAGGAATTTAGTAGACATTAAAGTAACATTTAATTTTTTGGTAAAGATGTGTAATAGTTAAATAATATTTACTTAGGAAAAAAAGTATTAATGTAGAATTAGGTTACTTCTTCCAGGGAAATGTTTATCATTTATTATACTTTGCCATTGATGCCTACATCCAATTGTGTTTTCTCAGATAATTGCAAAGCAGGTACTCCTAACCAGAACTGCTTTGACTTGCTAGAAAGCACCGATCAAGTCGCAGGCCCTTGCAATCCCTACATATTAAATATGCCTGTGCTTTTAATATGTACAGACACTCACACTCACACTCACACAGGAAACCCAAATGTATCATCATCACCATCACTAAGGACAATCAATTTATTGTCAGGGTTAAGTCAGAGGAAACAAAGATGCAATTTGTAACTTGAGATCATGAAATTATGCTTCCTACAGTGAATGTGCAAATGTTTAATCAGTAGAACATATATTTAGCTAACTGAATTGCTTTTTTTTCTGATAATTCACTCTTATGTCTGTGACTCAATTTACAGTATAGTGGTTTTTACAAATTATCAAATAACCAGATATAAAAAGTCTCCAGACTATAAAGCAGGAGGATGAAAGGACTTACTGCTTTTCCCAGTCTTCTTCTGTATCACTCCATCCATTTCCAACTTTAACACAATTAAGTGGGTTTTCGTTGTATTTCAACACATGTTGACATTAAAAAAAAGGAATTTATAACATAATGTGTATTACAATATACATTATTACACTTGGTAATATGTATTTCAGGAGGACAAGCCACACACTTGTTACAAGACTGCCACGTTCATATGCCTGCTGCACACTAAAGACCAATACACTGAGACAGCAGGGTTTGCAGCAGAGAAAGAGTTTAATATAACTGCAAGGCCATTGAGGATGGAAATGGGAGGAATTCTCAAGGCCCAAATCCATTTCATCAAGGTGGTCTGAGCAAAGGTCTTTAAGGGTTTTGTCAAGGGCTAGGGGCTGGAAAATTGAGGTTGTTGATTGGTCAGGGTAAGGGGCATGACATCATCAGAATGTGGAAACTCATTCTTCCAAGAGTCAGCGTCTTGCAGGACCCTTTAAATCAGATGGTTTAAGTCATTTTGTTGGTATGCAAAACCTAAAACAAAAAATCAAAGAAAAAGCTTATCATCTCACAACAGTTTAGCTTTTATGTACAGAGCGGAAAAGAAACAATGAGTTCTATGACTAGGTCTATGTTCACCTGGCATAGTAAGCAGATACCAGCTACAAGGAAGTGGACCAAAGGGCAAGCTGGTAATGTTTATTGCTAATTGTGCTGCAAGCCTAGTTGACTTTTATCTTTTCCCCTTAATTGATTTTATAAAATTTTCTTATGGATGGTTTCAGGATTTGGATAACAAAATGGGTTAAGAATTTCATCAGAATTCCAGATTGTTTGTATCTCTGTGGTCAGTCATATACAATATCATTTGATCTAAGACTGCCTACCCACACGACCATAAAATGGCTCTCAGGATCAACTATGAAAGCACCTGTTTCATAGGAGTGTATACATTTATTCTCCCTCTCTCGCAATATATCCAGATCTATCTATTTATAGGTAGGTCTAGATAGATCTCTATATAATAGAAATATTAAGAGAGACACATATAAACAGGAGGAGTACACACACTCCTATGAGAGAGAAACTTAAATGAATATATATATATATATATATATACGTATACACACACACACACACACACTCACACACTCAAAAAAGTCAGAGGGAGAAAATAAATTACCTTTTTTTTTTTTTTTAACAAAGCCTAAGCAATAATCTTCTCACATCTCATTCATTTAGGCTTACTCATTTCTTAATTTATTCCTGACAAAGGGGAATTAAATTACAACAATTGATATAGACTAATTTTTCAAGTTCAAATGAGCTTTTGTTAATTTCTTGCAACTGTGTGTAATGTACACATTTAAATTTTTATATTTAATTTGTATACATAATTTTATACATAATGTACATTTAAATAGGCGCAAATGACTCAATCATTTTATTACTTACTCTGTTAACATGAAGGGAAGCTTTCATATTATTTTCATAGGTCTAGCATGGCAAGAACATAAAACCCTTACAAATGAAGACTGAGAAAACTACTGACAGCATGCATTTAAAAATTAGTGGTAAAATCAAATTAAAATATTAGCAACCAGACAAAGCGATACAAAAAAGAATAGTTCACCCATATAAAGAAGATTTCATTCTAAGAATGCATGGTGGTTAAAATATTAAGAAATAAATGATGTAATTGACTAGTATTAGATGAAACGTTAAAAAATATTATTTTGATTTAAAAATTCAAAGACCAATTTAGCTGTAAGGTGACTCAAGTCAAACCTGATGGCATGCTTGAGAAGGAAGCAAATAAGACTTCCAGCCGGGCATGGTGGCGGACTCCTGTAGTCCCAGCTACTCGGGAGGCTGAGGCAGGGGAATGGCATGAACCCGGGAGGCAGGGCTTGCAGTGAGCCGAGATAGCACCATTGCACTCTAGCCTGGGCGACAGAGCAAGACTCTGCCTAAAGAAAAAAAAAAAAAGGAAAAAGTTAGTGTAAAAAATTTTAATGAATTATTTTAGTGCAATAAATATGTCTTAAAGTGTAAGCATATAAATATTTTTAAGTCTGTACTACAAAAAAGAAAACAACAGGGAAAGTGTTTTGAATATAAAAATCAATAATCTGCTTATAAATAACTGAGAAAAATTTAAATGATTATTTAAAACTCAGGAATAATTGAATTTTTTAAGTATTTCAGTCTATTTAGATATATACTACTTAATACTTTGACAGTGATTAGCATTTGTGATAATTCTGTTCTCATGTTCTAATGCAGTCTCCACATATACAAATTCATATTGATATATTAGGGTACCACTAAAAATGCTTACTTTTAACAAAGAAAATCGACTCTGTAAAGTCTCTAAACAATTTTGTATCTCGATAAGTTTATTATTGTGGACAAATATTTTTCAAATGTATATCTATAGCTACACTATATAGATAGAGATATTGATATAAAGATATTCTATTGACCTCAATATATTACCTTATTTTAGCATATTAGTTTAATACCCAAGAAAAGGATGATATCTAAAGTCTCCAAAATAGTTAGTGAGAGAAAGACAAATCATGGTTAAATGTGTAAATTTATTATTAGGAGATAACATTTCAACCATTTCCCAGCCTGAATAATTTTCTTTAGGATTTCTTGCAGTATGGGTCTCCTGGGAATCTAAACGTTCTCTTAGCATTTGCTTTTATAAATTTTTTAAAAGCTTTTTTCTTATTTTTATAAAATGCATTTGCTGAATCTAGATTCTCATTTGTCAATCTACCAGTCAGAATCTTGTCAGTAGATGCAAACACATCAGGAATTTGAAATGAGAGAATTCGAAACAAATGTTCCTAGCTAACTAGTAAAAAATGTAAAAGATATCTCTAAAGTGTCCCAAAGTGGCAAATTCAAAACAGCAGCTGCTACCTCAAGGGTGAGGGGAAGTGAAAAATGAAGGAAGCTAAGGTATTAGGAGAATTCTGCCTCTCTACCCCAGCATTGTCAAAGAACGCATGCGTACCAAAAGTACAAGCAGCCTGCTGGGTGTGGAGAAATTCGTCACATGGCATTGAGTGGAGCTGGTGAGTAGAAGTGTCCTACCCTTGGTAGCGAGCACAATACTGCAGGAGCTGGCCTGTAGAATAGAGTGGGGAAGTAGTAATGGTGAAGTTGGAGCTCCCATGGAAGAATCCGCCAGGTAGGGAGAGCAAGGTCTGAAAATGCATCTGACATTAGTCCAGGGGAGCCTCTGAAATGAGTGCTGCAAGGGTTCTGCATACTCATCCGCTGCCTCTCACATAGATGGGAATGAAGGCGTCCGCAAACCAGAAGAGACTGCCTATAGTCCCATAGCCTTGCACATTCCCTCCAGCAACCACTGTTGGCAAAGCCTAAATTTGCACAAAGGAGAAATGTTACCTGTCCCAGCTCCAACATCAGGAAGCAGTGCAAAGGGGGTACTGAAAGACACTGCATTTGTAACTAAAGTAGGGTTTTGTAGGATGTTCTGTTTTCGTGTTTACTTTTTGAAATTTAAATACATGATCTCATTTGTTTTCTGGCTTCCACAATTTCTGATGAAAAGTTAGCTATAGCTTTTGTTCCTTACATGTGCAATATATTCTTTGATTCATTTTAACAGTTCTTTTCTATATTTGTTTCTTAGTGACTTCATATGAATCTTTTTTTTTTTTTTTTTTTTTTTTTTTTTTTTTTTTTTTTGAGACAAGTTTCGCTTTGTCACCAGGCTGGAGTGCAGTGGCACTATCTCAGCTTACTGCAAGCTCCGCCTCCCAGGTTCACGCCATTCTCCTGCCTCAGCCTCCCGAGTAGCTGGGACTACAGGTGAGCACCGCCACACCGAGCTAATTTTTTGTATTTTAATAGAGATGGGGTTTCACCGTGTTGCCCAAGCTGGTCTCCCACTCCTGAGCTCAGGCAATCTGCCAGCCTCTGTCTCCCAAAATGCTGGGATTACAGGCGTGAGCCACCGCGCCTGGCCCATGAATCTTTTTTAAAGTATATTGACCTTCATAATTGTACTGTTCGGTTTCTTTAAGAAAATTTGAAGTTATTATTAATTCAATTACTTATGCTGCTTCGTTTACTGTTTCTCTCCTGTATTTCAAGCTGCAGCATATTAGATTATTTGACCATATTATTTGATCATATCCCGAGTTGCTTTAATTATTTCTTCTATTTTTTAATCATTTTCTTTTCCCAAACTGTGACTCATTTTGGTTAGTTTTTACTAACCCATCTTCTAGTTCACCGTCCTTTCCTTTATTCCCTCTACCGTTAACATGGTTTGCTAACTTTAGATTTTCTCTTTTACAAGTTTAAGTTTAGAATGGCACTTTGTTACTTTTATAGAATATATTTTGTTGAAATTCTCAGTTTTTTAATCCATATTTTTACTTTTCTTCTAACTTCTTTGACATATTTAAAGTATTATTTTAAAGTCCTTGTCTGCTGATTCTATGTCTGAGTCAGATGTGCATTCTTTTATTGCCTTTCTTCCTCTTAATGTTGAAACACATTATCCTGCTTCCTTCATGTTTTCTATTTTTTACGTTATACCAGATATTATGTTTAACAGACATATGGATATGGTGTGAATATTATTTTCCCACAGAGAGAGAACTTTTTCTTCTGTTTAAGAAGAGTTCTTATTATTTATTTCCAGTAACGAGTTGGCCTAAGTCAACTGTGTTATCGCTTCAGTTAGTCTTAATATTTTTAAGATAATACAATATACTTTGTGTAATCATAGGACCTTTCATCTTCTAAGATTTTGGGAGCTTCAGCATAACAATGCAGATATTTTTCTTCATTTTTCTGTGCAGCTCCCCTTCTTTGTCCCCATGCACTCAAGAAAAAAAATGTGGAGGACAATAGGCAGGTATAAAGATTGCCTGAGTGTTTTGGTTTTGCAGAGATCACAATCTATTATGCCAGCTAGTGCAGTCATTGAAAGCTCTAATGGATTCTTTTTTCTCTCGAAGACCACCTCCGTCTATGACAATCCAAAGTTCTTAGATTAGTAAATACACCCACTGGCCAACAATTTCTGATCACCTATGTAGGGACTGACTTTCTGTGAACATTATTTCTTTAGACTTCTTGCATCCACAGCTCTCCAAAAATTTAATAATGATTTCTTAGTGTATTCAGGGTTTTATAGTACTTATGGTAGGAGCAATGGTCTATGGTAGACTACATGCTAACTGAAAGAAGAACTCCAAAGAATTCTTAATGCTAAAGCAAAAACTACATCTGGTAATGTTAAATAGGCAAGAGCGGCTTTATTCAAAGCTAATGCAAAAGGGGAGATAGACCAGAAATCACGGTGAGATAAACTCTGTAAAAGCAAAAACAAGGGGCAGAGAATGGTTTTTTAAATCTAGGGTTGAAGAGAGATCAGGGACCACCTGTTTGCTAATTGAGGCTACTCAAAAGATAACATAAAACTTTCTTTCATTTTCATGATGGGAGTGACAGGAGGTGGTTACATTTCCAAAGAATGCTTCCTAGGTGCTTGAGAAAGAGTCCTGACCTGTAAAACTGAAAAGAGATTTGAAAAGATTTATGTCTCAAAGGGGTAGAGAAAGAATTCGCAATTACAAGTTTTCTAAAGAAAATGTTCTAGAAAAAGGAAGGGAATACCTACAGTTAAGAAGCCTCTCCAAAGTTTAGTCAAGCTAATGGGAATGTTAAGGCAGTCCTGGGCAGTCTCCCCTTCTGTCCAAAAGGAAAATCAGATTTCCCACTGAACAAATTAGGAAACCTAATCCATGTATATCATTTCAGCAATTTGCTGTATTTGAAAAGCTAGTTGAATCATCTGTTAAGTCTTGGCTATATGCGATACTTGCTGGATAATGCAAGCAATCAGGCATTTATGTAGAGGATTCCTACAGAAATATAAAACCTATTGACGGGCTATGAATTCAGTTTCTGGATCCAGAGGGCAGTTAGTTGAGATCTCCAGATGTTGGGATCAAAGTGTCTTTAGATGGTGGAGTGTGGATGGCAATGGCAATCCAGATAGCTATTTCAGCAAAGCCCATCTGGGTTGAAAACATATCCAGTCTGTTTCTAATAAGCTCTTTCAGCCTCATATAAGCTCTAATAAGCTCTTTCAGGTTGATTTTGGGGCCCCTCAAGAGTCCAGATAAAGTCAAAGTACCCACAATTCAAGTGACTTTAGGGAGTTGAAGAGTAGACTATAAAGGAAAAGATACGGCAGGGGTGGATAGTGAGATGGAATATGTAGAGGTTTTGAAATGGAGAAGATCAAATGATTTAAGGAAGCTAGGTAGAAAGAGAGAAATGAGGAGCAGAGGTGATGTGAAAGAGAGGTCTTAGATGAGTCAGTTTTAGGAGATCTCAGGTTTCCCAAAGAGGTTATTAAAGTTTCCAATTTTTCTTGGTAAAACTGTGTCCATGAGAAAGGAATTAGAGAGCTAACATTGTAGTAACACCACATAGCAAAAGTCTTCAGAGGAGACTTTATAATGACATGAGGAGGTTTACTCAAATTTTTAAACATCAATATTTAAACTTTATTCATAATATATTAATGATTATAGAATTTTGGACAATTATTAAATAACACACACATATGAAATAAACAATTATGTGATATAATGGATAAAAATGTATATTGAAGCACTACATATCAAAACCATGACAGTCATTCCGTTAGAAGGCAACTTTTTAATTGGTGAAGTAAATAAAGACATCTTCAAGCCTGTAATCCCAGCACTTTGGGAGGCCTAGGGGGTAGGGAGCAGATCACTTGAGGTCAGGAGTTTGAGAGACCAGCCTGGACAACATGGTGAAACCCTGTCTCTACTAAAAATATAAAAATTAGCCGGGGCATGGTGGTGTGTGCCTATAGTCCTAGCTACTCAGTCCCAGCTACTCAGGAGGCTGAGGCAGGAGAATGGCTTGAACCCAGGAGGCAGAGGTTGCAGTGAGCCAAGATTGCGCCACTATACTCCAGCCTGGGCAACAGAGCGAGACTCCATCTCAAAAAAAAAAAAAAAGAAAGAAAAGAAGGAATCTTAAAATGTATGTCAATAATACAAATAATTACATAAATATAGCAAAAATGAAAAATGTAGACATGCTAATGGTGAATGGAGAGCACATATGAGATGTTTGCTGTATTTTTCCTTTACTATTTGTGGTTGAAAAAAATTTTCTTGCAAGGGGAAAAAAATAACAAAATAAATAGCATAGATTATGTTTTCACTGTATTCAGCATGGCTATTCTGTGTCATTACTCTCACCTAAGGGAGAGCTTAAGTAGTAGGAAATGTTTAATTTTAAGTAATTACAGTAACATAAGCTTCATATAGAACATAAGCTTCATACAGAAACTCATAAGAGTAGGAAATTTTGTCTGTTTTATCTGTTTTCTGTAATCCTTGTAGGTAGAAGAGTAGCAGGCACCTAGTACCAAAGTACACGATATTTTTGATTGAGTGAACAAATAAATGTGTATTCATTAATGAAAGTAGTGTTCCAGGAAATTGTGTTGTACTATATTAGTTTTCACTTAACTATTCTGGTGAGCAATTTCATTGCTCTAGCTTCCTCTATCTTTTTATAAGCCCTTCTATAAAAACATGTTTTTTTGTCTTGATGAGTAATAGTGTAGAACAGGGTTCAGGAAATTACTGCACATGGCCTAAATGCAGCCTGCCACCTGTTGTGTGACCCATGGGCCACACAAAATAAGTTTTACATAACACATGGTTGAAAAAGGCAAAAGGAGAATAATACTTTGTGACATGAAAATTATATGAAATTCAATTATTGTATTCATAAATAAAATATTGGAGCACAGTCAGGCTCATTCCGTTACACACTGTCTATGCCTGTTTTTGTGCTACATTGATTCAATGGTTTTGACAAAGACCATATGGTTCAAAAGTTTAAAATATTTACTATCGGATTGTTATGGTCTGAACGCTTATGTCTTCCACAATTTATAAACTGAAACCCTAAACCCTGAAGTGATGGTATCAGAAGGCATGGCCTTTGGGAAGTAATTAGGTGATAAGGGCAAAGCCATTATAAATGGGATGCATGTAATTACAAAAGAGGCTTGTGAGAAACCCCTGCTCCTTCTGCTGTGTAAAGTTAGAGCGAAACAACAGCTGATCTATGAGCCAGAAAGTGGGTTCTCACCAAAGATTGAGTTGGCCATCTCCTTAGTCTTGGACCTCCCAGCCTCCACAACTATGAGAAATAGATTTCTGTTGTTTATAAGCTACCCACTTTATGATATTGTGTTATTGCAGCCTAAAAGGATAAGACACTGATACTTGGCAGAAAAAGTTCGCCTACTCTTAGGTGAATTTTAGGTGTCAACTTGACTGGGTTAAGAAATACCTAGAACTGATAAAGCATTATTGTTAGATGTGCCTGTGAGAGTGTTTCCAAAGGAGAGTGGCATGTGAGTCTGAGTATGCTAAGTGGGGAAGACCTGTCCTCAATGTGGGTGGGAGCTATTCAATAGGCCTGGGATCTGGATATAACAGAAACAGACAAAAAGCTCATTGGTTTTTCTGTCCTGGAGCTGGGGTACACGTCTCCTCCTGCCCTTGGACATCAGAACTCCAGGCTCTCCAGCCTTTGGACTCCAGAGCTTACACAGATGCCACCTCTTCACTTCCTCAGGTTCTCATGCATTTGAACTTGAAGTGACCCATAATACCAGCATCCCAGGCTCTCCAATTTGCAGATGGGCTGTCATGGAACTTCTCAGCTGTGATAATCATGTGAGCCAATTCTCAGCCTCTATAATAACTTGAGCCAGTTCCCCTAAAGGAATCCCCTCTTCTCTCTCTGTCTCTCTATTATCTATCTATCTATCTATCTATCTATCTATCTATCTATCTATCTGTCTATCATCATTTATTTATCCATCTATTTCTATTGGTTCTCTCCGGAGAACCCTGACTAATATACTGGGTAAGTGTCGTCTTATTTGATGTACCCTCCAATATTGGCTTAAGTTTCTCCCTTCAATTCTATTACAGATAGTTATCACATTTTGTTACATGTAGGTATGTATGTGATTAAGTTTGAATGCATGTAATTGTTTCCTTGTTCACTCTGATGATTGGGAGGTCAGGTAGTTTGTTTTGTTTGCTGATTCTCCTAGCACCTAGCAGAGAGGCTTCCACATGGTAGGATATGTAAATATAAATTAGTGGATGAATAAATATGGATCTTTTAATTTATTCCTTAATGAGAGTCTCTGGGAATTGTTCACATGTCAGTCACTTAGAGAAAGACCAATTTATATATCAGTTTTTATATATGCAGTTTTAATTCTATGACAGATGACTAATTGTTTAGTATAAATTATGTGTTAAAGTTATTGCACGAAAATTGCATCTCTAAATATCTAACTTACACATGAATTGCTAAGAAGGAAAAACACTTTCTATTTTTACATTACAGGTTTGAAATAGTGATGCACAATTATAATATTCAAGGTACTGTGTTTATTCAAATTCTTATTCAAAAATGCAAATAAGAAAAGTTGGAGAGATTTTAAGGAAGTTAATCAGACTTGACAGAGCACAGGGATCATTGTAAGAATCCATTAAATATTAGTTTTTCTTATATGCTGAAGTAAAGCTTGGCTTTAAGATTTTCTTTCTATTTACTCTATAGATACTGGTCAGACTTCAAATTCAAAATTACATAGAATTTTTGTTATCTAAGGTGATAGAGTCTAATTTTAAAATAACTTTGAAAAGAAATTTTTAACAAACTTCAATGGATTTCAGAAAATGTCTATAGACACAGATTGTCTTTTAAGACGAAGAATGATACCACATTTTGTTTGAGAATTCCACTCATCTATTTTGCCATAAATAGCTCAGGTACCATTTCTTCTTTCTAAATCATGGGTCCCAGACAAAAATCAGTGCTAACATTAATTTGGCCATTGCTTCTCAAACAAGCCATAGGAAAAAATGCCTTCTTAATTCTATATAAATAGATAAAAAGCTACCAACCTATATATTTTCAGGACTATTTCTTCAGAATTCAAACATAAATACATTTAAATAAAATATTTTCCAATGACATTTATTTTATATATTTTCTTTTAAACAGATCTTTTTAAAAACCTAGCATCACTGTCATTTGGAAATAAGCTTTTTAAATTTTTTTCAGTGTATAAACTTAACCATGAATTAAGATTACTCCATATGTTTGATCAAAACGTTTTAAAAATCCTTAAAAATAAAAATTATGCAGACATACTAAGTTTATTTTTAACACTCACTCAATTCTTAGAAATTTTAGTGGGATAAGCTATATATGCTGAAAAAAATTTGGTGTGTTTTGATGGGATATTTTGAATTTTTCGTATCAAGGAAGAAATCATAAATATTTGGCATAAAAAGTTAATTAGTTCAACAAAGTTAAAAGGAATAACCTAAATTGAGGATAAATTTGTTGGCAAACTTGTTCATATATGTAAAAATTCAAATTGAAAAATTAAAGGACAACTTCTTAGTAGATTTCTTTAGACCAAATGGTGGTAACGTGCACACTAGTGTTCTCAGGAAAAGTAAAGTTTGTATATGAGCCAAGAATATATTCATGTAAGAAGCAAATTACGTCTTTGAAATTGAGGAATTAGTATAAGGATTTATTTACATATACGTTGGAGGGTCGAACTACTAAAATTTTAACACTGAGGTCACAGAAACTGAAAAATTCCATCACTAGGTATAAGGCCACAAATAGGAAGAAAATGAGATTAAGAAATGGAGAAGTCCAGAAGAGAAAAATTATGATATGAAGTGAGGGGTGGAAGGGTAAGGGGTGGGAGTGGGCTCAGAACCCTACAGATGGTGCCTGACCAGCTTTCTGCTGGTAAACCTAAGGAGCATGATGAAGCTGACTGTGACCTGGGAGTGCTTAAAGATGTTGGAGGCTGGAACCATCTGTCAGTGACAGAGCTGAGTGTTTTCACTGAGTCAAATAGCCATAGTAGCTGCCACCAAGCAAGCTAAATTACCCAACAGAAAATACATATTTGAGCACATTTTTAATGATTTTCAATTAGTTTGTTGTCAAGAACCCATTTTCTCTCCTACTTACTGTCTGTTTCTTAGTGGGAGAAACATGGTTCCCCCCCAAAAAAAAAAAAACACTGTGAGTCAAACCACCATGTAGTTAGACTTCAATCGTTATTTCACCTCCTTTGTTTTTCATCCATTGTGTGCAAACAAAACTGTAATCTAACTGTATGACTCTTGGCGTTTCTGCCAGGGTTGGCCTTCTATAGACATACTATTAGAGATCAAGAAGGCATATAAACAGATGTATTTCCACTCATATAATGATGTGTATGTTAATTTATTTTAGTGCATAGTATTAGTATATATTAGTCCATTTTCACCCTGCTAAAAAGACATTATCTGAGACTGATTAATTTATAAACAAAAGAGATTTAATTGACTCACAGTTCTCCATGGCTGGGGAGGCTTCAGAAAACTTACAATCATGGCGGAAGGCAAAGGGGAAGCCAGGGCCTTCTTCATATGGTGGCAGGAGAGAGAGAATGAACAGGGGAAACTGCCCCTTTTAAAACCATCAGATCTGGTGAGAACTCCCCTGCTATTACAGCATGGGGGAAACTGCTTTTATAATCCAGTCACCTCCTACCAGGTCCCTCCTTCCACATGTAGAGATTATAATTCAAGATAAGACTTGGGTGTTGTCACAGAGCCAAATCATATCAATTAGGTACTCAATTTTGGATCTATAGTACATCAGGGACAATGATATTCCAGAGAATGTCAATGATTTTGATGTCCCATTTAGATGTCTAGGTTAGGTGAAGCATGTACAAAATACAAGCAAAGAGGAAGCTTTCCTTTGATACATCTCTAAGAGGGCTCCTGTGTGTTGTTTATTCCAGAAATGATATAAAATACTGTATAGTCAAGAAATCTTCCATGGCAACACTCAGTTTACATTTCATGAATAATTTATGTGATGGACTGAAGTGCTCCCTTTAAAAAAATGTTTTAAAGTAATCTGGGGCAGATTGAAACCTAGGTAAGTTTATAATTATCCTAAAGCTTTTAAATACTACTTCTCCTCATTTCTGCAATTTATTTTATAGTTGTATTTATCAGTCAGTATACATTTACTACTTGTTATTGTGCTTGATTACTGTACTATGGGTTTTGTTCTTTTTGTTTGTAACATCATCTGTGCAAAGCCTTGGAATTCTTTTCTTACAAGCAAAATGTAAATAGGTCAAATAACGCATAGATTAAAAATTTTGGACTTATTATAGTTATTTGATATTAGAAGAGATAGATTTTAATCAAAAACCACCATATGTTTATAACTTCTTCCTAATGTTGAAACGTATTATTTAAGATATGTTTCTGCTTTATAGTGTTATAGAAATTTGAGATTATTATCAATATATTTGTTCGGATATATGCTTGGATTTTGCCAAGCATCTATTATCTAACTTTCGTTGTCCATGGTATGTCTTTTTGGTCGATTATCAGCATAAATTATTCTGTATTTATTTCACCTGCTGAATGATGGATGTGCTATGTGATGTCACATTGAGACAAGTATCTTGGATGAAAGAAGTTTTTAAATAGCAAACATTTGGAAAAACTGTACCTGAGCCAATAAATGTGTTAGGGAATATTGGAATGCTGTATATGAAATCTGACTTGGGCCATTATTCTTGGGCTCAGGGGAGTATGTATTATAACTGCTTATAAGATACTTAATCAAAATTATTGTTGAATTCTTGAAAGGGCAGTATGTAAGGTCCTCCTTCCCTTCTGATTATCTAATCTTTTATAAAAGAGTTCAGTGAATATCAAACTATCATCTTCTTTAATCAAAAGCAACACAAGATCACAGCCTAGATCTCTGAACAAATTATACTATTATATTTGCTCCCTACATTTGACTTTGAATGATATGCTGCAGGGAGGAGTCAACTCTGCAGAGCAGATACATCCAAATGTGCTAACTCATACTCATCCAGCCAAATGATTAGAGATAAAGAGAAACAGCTTCTGGATATGGTTTCAACAGGCTACATTTGCCCCAGTCATTCACCTACATCTGCTTAACACATAAAAATAAGAATGATGAAGACATTAATCATTCTGAGGGCAATATGGTTGTATTACTTCATTTTCACACTGCTATAAAGACATACCCTAGACAGGGTAATTTATAAAGAAAAGGAGTTTAATTGACTCACAGTTGCAAATGGCTGAGGAGGCCTCAGGAAACTTACAATCATGGTGAGAGGGAAAGAGGCACATCTTACACGGCAGCAGGCAAGAGAGAGAAGAGTGAGGAGTTAAGGGAGAAGAGCCCCTTATAAAACCATTAGATCATGTGAGAACTCACTCATCATCATGAGAACAACATCAACATGGGGGAAACCACCCCCATGATCAAATCACCTCCCACCAGGTCTCTCCCTAGATATGTGGGTATTATAGTGGTTACAGTTCGAGATGAGATTTGGGTGGGGACACAGCCAAACCATACCAATGATGCATGAAGATAGGAAGGTATAATCTATGTCTGACCAATGCTTACTGTCTACCCCAAAGGCCTGGAATTTTGTGTCTATTCTGTTATTAAAATCTGACTAAAAGTCATAAAGAGAGAAATAAACATTACTAGTGTAGAATCTCTGTAAAAGAATTATTGGGGCTGGCCTCATCATTGACTATAATTAACTAAAAAATTTGTTCAGATATTTCTTCCAGTATTCAAAAGTTCTGGTATAGAAAAAAATGTTGCTGATGTTTTCTATTTATTTATAGGTTTTCTGCATCTTATCTGTCAGAAAACTTTCAAGATTTTAAGTCATATTTGGAGCAGTGAAATTTCACCATTGTATGTCTACTCTCTAATGACTTAAACAATTGAAACTATTTTTTGAAAAACTGTAACCACAATTTCTTTTTAATTTTTTTATTTTGAAATCTTTATTACTCCACTCATTATTGCAATTGTCACAACAATATCCAAGATTTTAACTTATCTCTGAACATCAATGGATGGATGGCTAGATAATTGGGTAGACAGATTAGATAGATGATAGATAGATAGATGATAGATAGATAGATAGATAGATAGATAGATAGATAATTTAGATAGATAGATTTGGCTTTGGAATCAGATGTTTGGTAAATTGCTGGGATTCTCCACCCAGCCCTAAATGTCAACATTTATAAACGTGAACACATCACATGCAAGGGCAAAGATGCAAAAACATTAGTATCCCAACGATAGAAAACAGAAAATAGAAATTGAGAATATAAGATATTTTTTATTTATCCTCTATCTCTCTCAAAAGGGTTATTTTCATTTTATCTTCCAAATACATTTCATTTCATAGTAAAAACATTCACAATAATACTAACAGACATATATTATTATCTTGATAATAAGTAATCTGTATTCTTTTGGAAATTGGGCATATTTTAATAAGAAAAATCTCTCAGTAAATTTCACATTAGTAAACACAACTTCCAAAGGGTTGTCCAGAGGTAGAATTGAAGCAATCTGCTCATTTTGAAAGATTGCAGCAGGAGGTACAGTTGACTTCTAGTCACATTCTCAGATATGAGTTTATCTTATATTTTATTCAAGCAAAAGTGTGATAGACTTATAAGCCCTATGTAGTCATTTTGTGATTATGAAGCAAGCTGCCCAGACAACTACTGATTATCAATTATATTTCTAAAGTATTATGTATTGACATATAACACGTAATTTATTACATGCAGGAGATATTACATAATATAATCTTAAGCAGTATTACATTCATCATTAGCAATCTTAAAGAGTTGACAAAAAGTGGCTCACAGAGCCTGTTGATAGCATCTCTTCACAATTCACATTCAGAGAGGATATGTTCGCCAACTAAATCATCCATGGAGTATTTTCATTATGAAAGTTGACAAATACTACAATCAAGGTTTCTTTCCACCCCTAGAAGGAGAGGCTGATTTTCAAACACTTACCAGCACACCGCCATTTATAATTTAAACAGAATGTTCAAAACTCGTAATTAAAAATATCTTCTTCTTCAGAAGAATACCTTGTTTTGTCTTATGCAGACAAAAATATTCAAACCTTCTTAAGTTTGGTCCAAGAACCATTTTAACTCTGCTGACATTTAAATGTACCGCATCTTTCTTTCTTTTTTGAGAGTAAGTGCAGAGGCAGAAGAGTTGAATTTTGTTATAAACTTCCAAGGAAATATTTCTTTGTTCGAATTAATATATATAGTTGTCTGTTTTTAACCTTTCAAGATGAATGATAAATTGTGTCTCCCTGTGAACTAAGTCACTGTTCAGCTACTATAATCTTTGCTGAAGATCAAATAGGCACTGATTGTTTACAGATTTTGTTTTATTACTGTCAGTTGGGTCACACATTTTCCTAAAGTGAAAGAAAAAATCAACCACTTGAAATATTTTGAAAGATAATGTTCTGGAAGGTAAAAATTCACTGTTGAAAACCACAGCAAGATTGCTGACAAAAGATCAAGTTTGGGTCAATGAGAAAAAATTTGTTTCCTCCTCCCTGCAACTATTATTTTGTATTGTGTATAGATATAAAAAGGTAACAAGTTTATTTTTTTCTTTTATTAGGAAAATAACCTCTTTTTTCTGGGGTTTTAGTACTAAATGTAGAATAGAATAAATGGGAAAATAAATTGCAGAGATGTTATATTTTAAATAGAGAGATACATTTACAAATACAAATACTTCTCAATTAATTGTCTCTCACTAGATTCGGTGAACTGTTACATTTTCCTGAAATTTTTGAACTCTCAAAAATTCCAAATGCCTGGGCACACACTAGTATTTTACCTTAAATTTTATAAAATTTTAAAGACCTTTTTTAATTCTATTAAGCATGAATTTAAAAAAAGAAAATATGTTACCCTTAGAAGTTACCTTGGAAATGCCTAACAATTTAGAGTTTTCAAACATTTCTATTTAACAGAACATTTATAGTTTGTAGGACTGTGTTTTGGGATTATGGAAGTAGGAAAAAATTACACTTCTTATGTTACCATAAAGGCCCTTAACAGAGGTTGATCATCTGCATGATGATACAACAGAGAAATTCTGAGTTCAGGGTGGCCAGCCAGGTCAGAAAAAAATGCATAATGAGAACAATAACAATGAAAATACATTTATTGAAGGCCCCCAAAATACAACGATTCAGTTTAGGAATTGTTTTCAACTATTAAAGCAGGTGGCATAAATTTCTGTGAGGAGATTGAAGTGCTCTTTTAATAAATTGAATAAATATTTAGAAAATCTAAAACTATTAGTTTGGACATACAGCAGCAAAGAAAATTACACAGCTATTGATTCCTTGAGTCTTTATGATCAGGCAATCAAGAAAAACCAAGCATAAAAGAGAAAAGCCCAAATAAAAAACAATAACAATAAACTGACCAGAAAATAGGCAATTGAGAAACATTAAAGAACTAGAAGATTAGAAAGTAGTGAAAACCTGAATGAAGATGCTCAGTGTCAAGAAGACATTGCATTTATAAATTAAGAATTCTTAACGTGTATTGCAGAAATAAGATATAATTGCTGTGCCCTAAAATAAAATTGAATGAAGAACTATGACCCAGAGAAGTCTCCATGAGATGAAAAAGAAATAAATTGATACATAAGGAAAAATAGAAATAGATGTTTGGGGGAATTTAAGAGGTCTAACATCACAAGAAAATTGTGAGAGAAAATGGCTAAATATGAGCCAGTATCAAAAGGAAATTAACCAGATATATATTATCATGAAGCTTCAGACTGGGAAAAACTAAGACATTGTCTAAAGTGACTCAGGTTTAGACAGATCACCAATCAATTTTTATTTCGTAACTCCAAAAACAAATTGATATGGTTTGTGTGTGCCGAGCCAAATCTCATCTTGAATTATAGCTCCCATAATTCCCACATGTTGTGGAAATGCCCATATGGGAGATAATTGAATCATGGAGGTGGGTCTTTCCTGTGCTATTCTTGTGATAGTGAATCAGTCTCAGGAGATCTGATAGTTTTGTAAAGGGGAGTTTCCCTGAACAAGCTGTCTTCTCTTGTCTGCTGCCGTGTGAAACGTGCCTTTCACCTTCTGCCATAATTGTGAGGCCTCCCCAGCCACATGGAACTGTGAGAGGCCATTAAACTTCTTTCTTTTGTAAATTGCCCAGTCTTGGGTATGTCTCTATCAGCAGCATGAAAACAGACAAATACACAAATTAAACATCAAAAAGAAAAAAAAGTAATGTGTACCACAGAAAGAACTAATGTAGCATCATGCCTTGCATCACAAATAATAAATGGTAGAAAATACTAATATAATATTTGCAAACATTTGAGTGCAATATTTTAAGAGTATATTATAGACATCTGAACAATCATTCAATCTAGGGTGCAAAAAGCATAGTTAGGCAAGTAAGCACACAGAACATTTGTATTCTACTGGCAGTTATTTTTCGGAACTTATTTGATAATTTAATTCAGAAGAACAGAGGAGTAATTTAAGAGCAGAGGTTGTGATATCCAGCTAACTGTCCTTTAAAACCAGTAAACAAAGTGAGTCAACCAGAAGACAACTGTATAGGAAAATATTGAGCAATGAATTCCACTTAGAATAGAATGCTCCAGAATGGAGATCTTTGGGGAAAAAGAAAGATGAAAATGCACATGGAACAGAAAAGACATTTCAATTGAGAGCATACACAAACATTGAGGATATAATAAAGGGAATCATTTAAGAGAAACTCCTGGAAAAAGTAAGAAACAAACACCACCTTGGACAAAACCCAAATGTTAAATTCATATTCCAGATGTGATGCAAACATATTGTGGCAAGCAAGGTTTTAAACAAATGATAGAGAATTTTAATATAAAGACACATGTTAAGATCATTTGCATTTGCATGTTTAAAGGACATGGCATTAAAAATAATACAATTATAACACATATTGGGCCTAGAATAAACTATGTTTATATAGCAGTTGCAATACAAATGTTGTTTTAGGTTTTATAACCAAAGTGTAGGAAAATTTCTTAATGAATTCATGATATAAATGAATACTAAAGACAGTGACAATGTACATGTAAATATTCTTTATCACAATTAGGATAAGGAAATGGAATGGGAAAACTAGAGGCTGGTAAGTGCAAATAATCAGTCTTAAAATGTGGAGAGTCAAGAGAACTGTGACAAATTCAACTGAACTAGACTTCTTATATTATTTAACATATTTCTTATTTTAAAAATTATAAGATATTAAGCACCGAGTAGTAAATAAAAGTCTAAATTTGACAAATCAATAACAATATTAAAAATATATTAGTTAGAATTATGCATATAACCACAAGAATAATTAAAATAAAAGTAGCTAAAAAAGTTTATCAAGGTGAGTGAGACTGGAAATAAAAAGAGAAGAGGCAGAAGAACATTGCTTCTGTTTGGAAGATTGTCTGTACCATTTCCCATGTTTAAAAAATACTGCTTTGATTATGGTTCCAAGAGTTAGTACCTCAGTTAGCATTCATAAAATAATATGTCTGAAAATAAGTGAATTTTCATCTGCATTATGCTATTGTCTTATCCCTTAGATTGGGTACTGCTAAGATAGTAAAAGTGAAATATTGCAAATTAGGTAGATGAGATATTAGACTGTAAGTAAAATTTACATTTTCCAAAATATTTTATAATCATTGTCTCTTTTATATTTAGTGTCTGTATCTTCTATGTTATACTACTATTTTCCCTTGAGTGTTTGATTGCAAGATCTAAGGCCTGTGTAAAAAGTTCAGACAATTCTAGTATGATGCTCTAATACTCAAATTAAAAATATATAATTATATCATGGACTTCTAGGCTGCTGAAGGGGATTCTTTAAAATTTCTACAAGATATACATGAATTCACTTTGTCCACTTCAGATTTAGCTAAAAACCAAAAATCAATACAAGATTCAATGTTTCTAATAGAATAACAATGATAAAATTTTTAGGAATGGCCAGTGTTCAAATTGAAGAAAACCGGCTTCAAGGAATCTCTCAGTAATAATACTAAAATGTGTTAAATTTAAATAATACATTTCTCCAATCTTGCAACGTCTTATATTTACTGGGAGACAATAGTAAATAGAAGTTTTACTCCACATGAATGTTTTAAATGAAAGCAAATAGAAAGGGAGTTCAATCTCACATGAGAATATAACTAGAAACTAAATTAATCATGAGAGATATCCCATGTTTTAATATGGAATGGTTATACCATAAAATTCACAGAAATTTTAGAGTCAGTCTACATCAATTAAAATACTTATTGAACACGTAGAACAAAACTAGCATTTTTTCTTTTTAATTTGTAATTTACAAAGTTGACATAAGTCCCACCCTTAAGTTTAATGTTGAGTAAATATTTGATTGTCAAAGAGTAAAAGTTGTCAATATTGACTATGCATATTCTCCCTTTCCTCTTTCTTTACATATATGTACACATGCATATAAACACACAAACCAAATATATATATATATATATATATATATTAGACACACAAACCAAATATATATATGCATAGCTCTGCTTTATTTTGGATACCAACCAAGCTGTATATTATTACTAAATTGACTTTGTTTTAATCAGCAATTACTAAATGGAGATTGCCAGAGAATATAAAAAGCTATTATTACTATTATCAGATTTTTGCAACACATTTAAGCCATACTTACCAACTCTATGCATATGGAATGAACACACTACTGCAATGGCGGTTTCTAGCTTGTGCCCCATTGAGCTCTGGAGGTATCACAGAGTTGATTTAGAAAGAAGTAGAGGATACTGAGGGAGATGGAAACAGAAATAGCCTAATTCTAGACAATCAACTCCCGCTTGAACCAGAACATATCAGTCTTTAACCAGAAGCATTCTTCTCCACAGTTTTTTTTTTGCTAAAAACATCTTACAGAAACCTTTTTTCTTGCATAATACCAGCATTTAACTTAGATCAACACTGAACAATTTTAAAACTCTCCCATTGAGTTTTATTTCCTTTTGAGTTCAGATTAAAAGGTTTGTATGTCTACTTTTCAAATCATGCACAGAAATATAAAACCATAAGTAACTGCAAATTGTTGCTATTATAATAATTGCTTCCTTTTGGTCTTTTATTTCACATTACATTAACTCATCTGTTAATTTGACAGACCAATTATCCAGTACCAAGGGGGTGGAAGGAACCAGGGCACAAATAAAAGCACAATATATAGCAAAAAAAAATTAATATTAAAATAAATATTCTTTTGCAAAGAAAAATTGAAGTTTTATAGAGGAAATATTAAAGGAATAAAAATCACACAACAATATTTGGCTCAGTTGGATTATACAGTATAGCTACAAAGAGAAAAATATAGAAATGCAAATAACAGAATCTCTATATACATAACATCTTCTCTTCGTATACCATTGTAAGAATATAATTCATAAGCATGAAATACATATGGATTTAAATGATATATATAGATATAAAATCTGTGAGTGTTGTAAATTTCAAACTCATCTTTCCGTTGGGATATTGAAAATAATGAATAATATTTGTTATAAATTAAAGATTTAGCTAAGATTTTTGTAATGCTCAAGATATCTAACATAGTTTATATGTTAATATTACTATTTTTTTTTTACATGCTAGTTAACATCAACGTAATTCTGAATAATACGATGAAAACCTGCCATTGACAGTGGGTGTATGTTTAATGGATTATGCATATGGTTTTGTTGTATATTTGTTTAGGAGAAACCTGAAAGAATGCATTGCACTGTTTAGAATCAAACTTTTTTTCTTCCCTTCCTTTTCCAGTCTCTTCTTGCCATTTGGTCTCCTTCCCTTTCCTTCTTATTTCTGCAGATTACCAACCAACTAGGAGCCTACGTGGGAAACACTTTGGGGACCCTTTAACTTAGCCTCCCTTAGGAAAACATGCCACATTTCAATCGCTGGAAGGTGGCTTCAGCGCTCTTATGCAACTGGAACATAATGGCCCATAAGAACTGTTTATTTTTTCAAATTTTGTGAGTTGTTTATTATTCAGTGACATTATTAATAATTAAATTATAAAAATGTATAATCAAATAAATGATAATAGAAACAAAAGCAACACACGCTCCACATATAACTT
The DNA here is from genome assembly GCF_000001405.40 of Homo sapiens. Taxonomy (NCBI): domain Eukaryota; kingdom Metazoa; phylum Chordata; class Mammalia; order Primates; family Hominidae; genus Homo; species Homo sapiens. The sequence continues at coordinate 25,683,822 of NC_000005.10, forward strand.
CCATATTGATTATATTTTACTATTTTCTATGCACTTGTGGCAATTTAAATCTATTGTATCTGTATGGTGGAGCTATTATATAATAGTGTACTACTATGCATTTAGTACAATCAATTTTACCAATACAATGAATATATGGCACAAAATTTACATGTAATGATAAAATATATAGTACACTATAGCAAATTTCCTATAGCCAAATGAGGATCACAAAATGCTTTGTTGATCTTTTTTGAATTCTTGCTTCTGTAGTCAATATATTGTTGAAATTCACAAATCAGTGCAAATCCAATATTGTTGTTTGTATGCATTTTCCTTTACACATCTAGTGAGTAGAAAGTAGAAAGTGAAACAGTAAAAGCTTAGGTTGTAAATTTACCCATTTGAAAATGACATCAAACTGGAATCTTTCCAGCTTCGTATTTAGTACAATCAAATTGGAAGCTCAAAATTAGCCAAGGTGGTAGCATTTATACCATGAACATTGGCACATGCTACAAATCAGGGTTTCATTTATCTTCTTGACTTAATGAAGTGATAAATAATTTGTTAATTATGTTTATAAAACATAAAATTGCATTAGGTATAGCCATTACACTGAACAGCACAAAAATTTGAAAAATTGTCTTAGGTAGTTTCTCAAGAAAAAAATACACACACACACACACACACACACACACACACAGAGTCATGCATTGCTTAATGACAAGGACATGTCAGATATGTTTCAAGAAATGTGTTGTTATTTGATTTCATTGTGTGGACATCATAGAGTGTATTTCAATAGGCTACGTGGTGCAACCTATTGCTATTAGGCTACATAATAGTACAACATGTTACTCTACTCAATACTATAGACAATACAATGGTTTTGTGTATTTTAGACATACCTAGACATAGAAAAGTTATAGTAAAAATGCAGTACTATAATCTGTGGTACCACCATCACTTATGAATAAACCCATCCTCAAGCAGCTCATGACTGTGTGTGCATGTGTGTGTGTGCGTGTGTGTGTGTGTGTATGCATATAGAGGGAGGAGAGATTTTAAGTAATTGGCTCATGAAATTCTGGAAGTAGAAAAGTCCAGTATTCATAGAGCTCACGGACAGGCTAGAAATTCAGGCCTTCAATTTATTGAATGAGGTCCATCCACATTTGGAAGGGTAGTCTGCTTTACTCAAAGTGTACTGATTTAAATGTTAATTGCATCAAAAATATCTTCACAGCAACATCTAGACTGGTGTTGGCCAAAACAACTGGGTACTGTAGCTTAGCCAAGTTGACACATAAAAGGAACTATTGCAAATATATTCAAATATGCAATAACTATTTTCTGGTTTAATAAAGAAGTTTCTGACGTCGTTTTTGAATGGGTAAATTTACAACCTAAGTTTTTACTGTTTCACTTTCTACTTTCTACTTTCTACTCACTAGATGTGAAAAGGAAAATACATACAAACGTCAATATTGGATTTGCACTGATTTGTGAATTTCAACAATATATTGACTACAGAAAAAAGAGTTCAATAAAGATCAACAAAGCATTTTCTGATCCTCATTTGGCTATAGAAAATTTGCTATAGTGTACTATATATTTTATCATCACATGTAAATTTTGCACCATATATTCTTTGTATTGGTAAAATTGATCATAAATTTACATGTGCATATACAGACACCTGCAGGGTTTTTTTTTTAAAGCCAGTTGTTAATGTTTAACAGCATGTCACTTTTCGGCTCTTTAGAAATGTGAGTGTGGTGTCTATTTATTCACATTTTAAATAAATGAGTATATATACACAGAAAGGGCAACTAATTAAACCTCTGAATATTGAATAAATAGGAATTTCTTCTCTCCTCTCTATGATCTCTTAGGGTGAGAAGACTAATGGATCTTGTCTAAAGAGTTGGAGGATCTTAGAACATTTCCCAGTGGGTCCTGAAACCAGCAATTGCTCCTTGAATTCTGGTTGTTTAAGTAGAGCAAAAGTACGGAGAACTAATAACTAAAAAGATGAACCCAAGCACAGAGAGACCCACAATTAGGTAGCTGAGTTACCTTTCTTCAAAGGACTATAGATGTCTATGCAGAAACCTGAATGAGCAAGTCAACATCATAACACAGGTCCATCTTACTTGTAGAAGGTGGAGGACCAGTCTATTCAACCAACATCATATGGGGCATGCAAATCAATGCAATTTGTGGGCCATGTTTAGATATGGGTGCAACATAATTTCTGTTTCTTAGTTCATGATTTTGGATTACTCTGAATATTCTAATGTGTAAAGAGATAAAAATTCATATATTTTTAGTTTATATCCATCGTCTTAGTGAATTCAGGATGCTATCACAAAGTACCATAGATTGGGTGGTTCAAAAACAACAGAAATTTATGTCACACTATTCATTAGGCTGAAGGTCTGAGATCAGGATGTCAACATGATCGAAAATTGGTGAGTGTCCTCTTCCAGGTTGCAGATGATTGTTTTCTCATTGTATTTTCACACCGGAGAGAGGAGAGACCAGAAGGCTCTTCCATGACTCTTACATGGGCACTAATCCTATTCAACAGGGCTGGGCCCTCATGATCCCATCTAATCTTAATAATAATCTCCAAAAGGCCCTACATCCTGATGTCATCACATTGGAGGAGGTAGGATTTAGACACATGAATTTTGGAGGGTTACAAACATTCCACCTCTTATACCTACTGATGTTAAATGAATGCTGGAGAGCATTTAAAATATTCCCCATTCAGAAGCAAGGTACAGTTGAGAGTGTTTGGCATCTTACTTGACTCAATCTCTGTAGGAAGAGAATAGTTGCATTACCCAAGTTTCTGTCTATTTCCTGGGAGCAATTCTAGTTTAATCGCTATTCTTATGTATGAGTATAAAGGCCTGGTTCTGTTGTGTCAATATTAGACACATTTGACAGACCATTTCAACTCCAGAACATCTGGTAGGTTCAGCTGAGGTTGAACTGAATCACATTTCAACTCCTCCATTGTTCAATTCATCTCAAAACCTTTTCTCTTGTGTCAATATTAGACACATTTGATAGACCATTTCAACTCCAGAATATCTGGTAGGATCAGCTAAGGTCTCTGGTAGAATTGAATCACATTTCAACTCCTCCTTGTTCAATTCATCTCAAAAACTTTTCAGGAATTTTTTTTTCTTCAAAATGTACTACCAGATAAACTCATACACCTGAGAGAGTTAAAACATCTGTAGACTGTATGGAAGTCTTCCTACAGGTTTCTAGTATGAACCCTTCCTACAACATACTGAAATTTGATTTTACTCTATTCAGATGTTATCATACAATTCAAAAATAGCTACAGGCCCACAAAATATTTAAAATAAATATTAGATGATTTTTTTTTCTGTTTTTAATAGGATTAACAATGATCATATTATGAAATTATCTTGTGGTACTTCTCAGCCTTGGATGTTGCTAAGTATACTTTCCCTATTTGTGAATGGTGTTTCTGTGCTGGAATTTGCAACTATGGACAAGAAACCAACCTTTTTAAAAGTGAAAGTTTCAAAAGTGCAATGCAAAGTACAATTATGCTACTGATAAAAACTACTAAAATAGCCAAGAATGCAACATTTGCCATTAAAATTTATGATAATTTTAAATGATTTGCTGTGACATTTATGTTAAAACTCAACTTTTCTGTGTGGTAATATTTGTGCTTATATTCGTATGTACATGACATCAAACACTGCATAATCCATAGTTTAGTAAGCCATTTTACAAATGAAATGTATTTATCACAACTATAGTTTTCTAAGTAGGCTTTCATTTACTAATGCAAATAGATTTCACTAACTATATTTATCTCAATGAATGCACATATGGAAGGATTTAGTCTTCATTTGCTTATTTTATTGGCTGGTTTTCTGAGATATTATTACAGATAAATGGATCAGACTTGCAGGATCAACTAATGAAAAATGTGATAAAATTGCATTCAATGAATAAAAATAAATATGTCATTCACAGTGAAAATATTTTTATATTTCTATGAAAGATGTATCTATGTCCTTAATATGCAAAATTATAAACATGTGTCTTGTCATATTTCAATATTTCATTATATTCCCTGTAGTACTTAGGTTTTATTTTTTTCTGTAGATACTATGCAACTATTCATATCTTTTCTGATACATATAGAGTAGGTTTTGGTCTTTTATTAAGAGGGAAAAATAGAAGGGTACAACTTATTTCTAAATGTTAAAGCAGATGTTTTATAATTTCTAATTTGCATTTTGGATAAGTTATACATAGTAAATGTGACATTTGAATCTAAGCCATAGGTTGTCATACATTTATCAGAAGTTGTTTTGTCCTTTTGTATTGTATCAATTATTCTAGGCTGGATTATTTTTCAAGATTACCTGCACGACTGACTCTAGTTTAGAGTTTGACATAAAAGACATCTGCATGAGTTTTGGAGGCAAGAGTGAGAAACAAAAACCACTATACCCAGAAGATTGTGGGTTCCAGTTTCACTTTGCAGATTCTAGCTTGCCATAAATTTCATTGTTTTCTGACTTCCCTTTTTCTATTGTGGGTTTCTGCCCAATTGCGAGAAATGCTGCCCTATAGAAAATTGTTCACTTGCTCTCACAATTGTGTAGGGTATGATCCCTGTAATAAATCTTTTATTTAGTATCACTCACAATAATACTGCTCTCCCGACCAAACCTCAATTGAGCTATCTGTCCCAATGGAAATATTTCTAAACACCTGCGTCTAAAAATATATCCCTTTAATTACACTTATAACTACTGATTTTTTGTAATATCTTTTCTTAAAATCAGGGGAATTCCCAGTGATCACTTCAGCAATCTAAAGTTTAAAAAATGATTCTCTCATATTTGAAAATGTCTGGTTTTTAATATATTAATGATACCTGAAACCTAGACAAAAAATCAATACGTAGATTACTTTATGAAAGTATAATTGTAAAATCATTCACTCTTAAACAGGAAAGGAGTTAAAGAAACATAAATAAGAGTACAAATTCTTCATTTTTCTTATAATTTCTTTTAGAATACTTTTAAATTATAGGTAATTTTGATTAATTTTAAATACACACGCAGACACAGAGACCAAATGGGTAAACTTTCTGTGTTTTACTATCTAGGTGTATCTTAATATTTTCATCCCCTTACTGCTTCTAAAAATATATATAAACTATTTTTGGTCTTGAGAAAGATACAAATAAGAAAAAAAGAAATTTTGATGTAATGTAGAGTGAAAGCAAAATGAGTAATAACCAAGTATTTTTAGAGAAGATATTTTACTATCACAGAAAATGGAGTGACACAAGCTCCTAGCAATGTGAATACTCCCAGAAACCCCTATTTCCACAAGAATGGAATAACGTACTTTTATAATTATGTATTTTAGCTAAAAATAACTGTACTAGCTAATTCTGAGGAGTGCATCTAAGTAGCTTGTTCAAAAATATTTTAAAATATTTTAATTTATACATTTGAATTTTATCCTCAAACAAGCAAAATAAAATATTCATTTTGGGTTTTCTTCGTTTTCTTTATTCTAGTGATGAATCTGATTAGAATGTTCCATGATCTTTTATGTTATTGCATTTTTACTTAATGATAGGTCCCAATTTTGGGTGAATTATTGACAAAAGATACAATAAATTCAAGATATAAGATGAGGCAAGTCCAAATCAAGTATATCAGATGCATCCAATTAAATTTTTAAATAGTTAGATGGCTTCATTTGTTTCAAGTAATGTATTAGTCTGTTTTCATGCTGCTGAAAAAGACATACTGAGACTGGGTATTTTATAAAGAAAAACATGTTTAATGGACTCACAGTTTCACGTGGCTGGGGAGACCTCACAATTATAGCAGAAAGCAAAAGGCGCATCTTACATGGTGGCAGGCAAGAGAGAATGAGAACCAAACAAAAGGGGCTTCCCCTTTTAAAACCATTAGCTCTCATGAGACTTATTCACTGCCATGAGAAGAGTACGGGGGAAACCATTCCCATGTTTCAATTATCTCCCACTGGGTCCCTCCCACAACATGTGGGGATTATGGGAGCGACAATTCAAGATGAGATTTGGGTGGAGACACAGCCAAACCATATCCAGTAACATCTGTGATTAGTTTGTATCATGTGGTGAAATACAATGGGAAAAGAAGTTATGTTCTCCACAACATGTCTATATGTGGGTGTATGGGCTCCTTTTTAATGTATTTTTTGGATATATATAACACATCGATGCATGAATGCATACAAATTTCACAAATAAAATATATGCCTATATCTTTCAGATGTACTTGTTCATATATATATACATACATGCATATATATTCTCTCACACATATATGTCTATACTATGAGTATTTCATATTCATGTATGTGTCTATGTAGAGAAAAACAAGAAAGCAAAAACTTCTGTTCTTACTAGTCAAACTTCAAAAAATAAGCTTTTTCCAAAGATTTTATAAAAGATCTGTATGAATGCAACATTTAGAAGATAAAGATGACATTAAAATGATTACTATAGACTTGCCGGGTGCAGAGGCTCACACCTGTAATCCCAGCACTTTGCGAGGCCGAGGTGGGCGAATCATGAGGTCAGGAGTTTGAGAACAGCCTGGCCAACATGGTGAAATCCTGTCTCTACTAAAAATACAAAAATGAGCCAGGCCTGGTGGCACATGCCTGTAGTCCCAGCTACTCGGGAGGCTGAGGCAGGAGAATCGCTTGAACCCAGGAGGTGGAGGTAGCAGTGAGCCGAGATCATGCCACTGCACTCCAGCCTCATGTCAGAGAGAGATTGCATCTCTAAAAAAAAAAAAAGACTTGCAGTAGCTCATGTTCTAATAAATTTGAAAATTATTCAAGCTAAGGATTCTAACTGTACATTGCTTTCAGAATAGTTGCAGAGAAATCATATTTTTAACACAAAAATAGTAATATTATCAAAAGTATTACTTCCATATCTTAACCATCAGCTGAACATGCATAATCTACCATGATGTTTCCTTTCAGTTTAACAATGCAGTGGGTTAATGTCATATCTTCTTCAGCAATCCTTGGCTTGCTAAGTGATTTCTGGGTTGCACACCGTTATCAAAAAGTTGATTCTAATTAAATAACTATTTATAGATTGAAAAATCAGCAACGAGTAGTGACATGCAGTTGTCATTGATGATAGACAAACTTGGTAAATGTATCAGTGATTGAGAATCATAAATTTGTGATGATTTGTTCACACTTCTGATTTAGGTTTCAGAAAATAATTAAAATGCCATGGAACATTTCAATATTACTCTCCATGAGCTGAAAGATTGTAGGGGTGCATTCATTAGTCAAAGGTCAAAGATAAAACACGTATCTGAAGGTTTGGGAATTGCCTTGTTATATATTTACACAAGACTTTAGATGAAACAATGGATATTATATATTAAAACATCTTATTAAATAAAACTTTATTTAACTGTAATAACATAGAAATGCTTTCTAATAACTATTTTCTGAGAAAGTTGTATATCTGCTAGAACCTGGACAAGAAATAACCCAATTGGCGCTGAGAGCATACATGGGTTTCTTATGTAACATCTTCCCTAATTATACTCTTGTCTTTTCAATCCATCAGATATGATGTGTTGGTGAGCACAAAATTAAAATTAAAAAAAGACGGAAACTCAGACATTTTTTCAAGTCAATTATATTGCTTCAGTTTCATTTTCAGAACCAATTTTTCAGAAAAAGCTTCATTCAAGAAATACTACAAATCGAAGAGTGCATGAAAAAGCATTAGGAAAAAATAAAATCAATCATTTTAATATGCTCCATAAATTTAGAAAAAATATTTTAAAGCAGTGCCCTAAGCTTTTCTTGATGAATCTTCAATTATAAGCACCAGTGCTTCTCTTTATAAAGCATCAAGCATGAGCATCATTACCAACATGATCTTCAAGTCTGGGGTTAAATAATAAATATGTCCTTGTCTTGATTAGTTACAACTAAAAAAGAAAAGAGGAAGAAAAAAAGGATTTTATGGTTATATCACTATCATCATCAATACTCACTTCATAGGAAAGTGAGTCTCTTTAGAGAGTAAACATTGTTGTCATTCACCAATCTGATCATTCTTCAGGGTACCCCAAGGAATATATTTCCTGTTACTTGAAATTAGGTAGGGCCATATGGGGTTCTAGTTAGTATGTTATGAGGGAAGTGATGTACGTCATTGCTGTGCTGAAACTTTAACTGATGGTGTGAGAGATTGTCTTTGAAGATGACCAGACAATAAAACCTCTCTCGTTTATATGCACATGCCACTCCTCTCATCCAGAAGTAGATGCTACCTATTTTCCTTCGACTTGAATTTGGGTGGTCGTATGACTTTTTTTTCCCGATACAACGTAACAAAAGTGCAGCAAAAGTGAGCCTGTGTCTGTGTGACTCACCTGCAAAAGCCTTAGGTATTTCCATTATTTTATTCTGTTGTAAGCCAGATATCATCTAAGGACACTCAGGTCAGACTATTTAATGTTGAACAATCATGGATGGAGAGAGTGAATTTCAGCCCTCTAGTCATTCCTGCAGAGGCTTCAGACATGTAGATGAGGCCATCTTAGACCTGCCAACCCATGCATTCCCTAACTCAATGCACTTTTGAACTGCAAGCATAAATGGACCATGGCAAAAGCAGCAGAAAACTGTAAAATGTACAATGCGTTTTGCATCACAATTACCTGGATCATGATTGAAACATACATCACTGGTCCCTACCTCCAGAATTTCAGATTCTTTAGGTCTGGAAAGAAGCCAGACATTTTTGTTTCTAACATGTTACAACATCAGATACCACTGATCCATAGGTCACCCTTTAAGAGTCACTAACTCAATTTATATTGTTAAAATTTATTATTTCAAATGTGCAGAATAGCTATAATAAGAGCAGTTAAAATGACACTTTAAAATGAGAATAAACGTTGTTTCTGGCAAATAATGTCAAATTTTTAGATTTCCGGTAACATTGTTAATAGCACTATAATAAAAATATATTTTGTTAAAATTGTACATGTATTTACTACCCCAGGGGTTTACTTTATCACAATGATATTTGTCTTTGTCAAAATGTTAACTTTTAACATGGGGCCTATATTAATTCTCTATTGCTGCATAACAATTTTCCCTAAATTTACTGGCTAAAAACAAATTATAGTTACTATCTGATAGTTTCTATGCGTGAGAAATCTGGGCACAACCTAGCTAGGTTCTCTGCTTCAGAGTCACTCACAAAGTTGCAAATAAGGTATCTTTCCAGGTTCTGCCATCCATGTGAAGGCCTAAGGAAGGATGCACTTTGAATTCATTAACACATGATTACTCAGATGGCCATGGAAAAGATTCAGTTCCTTGTGGCTGTAGGGCTGAAAGCCTCAGTTTCTTGCTGGCTATCAACTGGAAATTTCCAACAGTTCATTGGTAGGTGTAATACAAAAGAGCCAGTGTAAGAATCTGAATAAGATGGGCCAGATGCGGAGGCTGACACTTGTAATCCCAGCACTTTGGGAGGCCGAGGTGGGCGGATCACCTGAGGTCAGGAGTTCAAGACCAGCCTGACCAACATGGTGAAATCCCATCTCTACTAAAAATACAAAAATTAGCCAAGCTTGATGGCACACACCTGTAGTCCCAGCTACTCAGGGGGCTGAGGCAAGAGAATTGCTTGAACTCGGGAGGTGAAGGTTGCAGTGAGCAGAGATCATGCCACTGCACTCCAGCCTGGGTGACAGAGTAAGACTTCCTCTCAACAACAACAACAAAAAAGAATCTGAACAAGATGGAAGCCACAGTCTTTTAAAATCTAATCTTGAAAATGGCATCCAATCACTTCTTCCGTATTCTCTTTTTTATGAGCAAGGCAGTAGGTCCAGCCAACCCACACGGAAGGAGTTTCACAAGGGCATGAATGTCAGGATTTTGAATCATCTCAGAAACTGCCTATCACATGGAGATCCAGAATTTGGCAAAATGTTCATATGGTACAAATGTAAAAATAATGGAATAATAAATAATAGAAAACTATAAATTTTTTAAAAGAACAATTGTGCTCTTATTTCATTAAGATAAATTTTTACACCATTAGAATAAAGGAAATTCATTTTAAGAAATAAGTTTAACATTTAAAAAATATAATTTTCACAGAGTATGTGGCTGTTTTGTTAACATATGCCAGTATATCTATATTGGTGCATATCTTTAAAGTAATAATTGGTATATGAATACATACTTATGTACCTTCTTCTGGTAAAGGTTTGCATTGTTTTTCAAATGATGGTAAGCCTTTGAGTTCACTTCCTATTAGTACACATATCCATCATTCTTTTAATTACCATGTCATATTTAATTATCTGAAAGTACTATAATTAAACTCCACTCTTATTGATAGACAATTGTTTCCAGCATTGCCGGTCTATATGGTTTTGTGCCCAAACAAGCATATCTTTCTAGGATAAATGCTTAAAAGTGGAAATTCTGTGAAAAACAGGAAGTACATTTTTCATTTGGAAGACATTGCCAAATGTCCGGTAAGGATATTTTATACAATATGCCCTATAATTCAATAACATATAAAAGCAGTCTTTCTATACCTTTGTCAATATTGTGAATTTTACAAGTATTTTGTACTTCACAAAACTGATTACTAAAAATTCCATCTCATTTAAGTTTAATAAGTGTTTATTTTATTATTAGTGTGTTTGGTCAGATTTCAGCAGGGTTTAAGCTTGTTATACTTCTTATTTTGCAAACTATCATATACTTACTTTACTCTTTTCTATTTTCTTCACTAGGTTGTTGATCTTTTCTACTTGATTCATAAGAATCTTTTAAAACATTTTATCTGAAATAGCTATTGCAATATTTTTCCAGTATTTTTTGATATTGTTTTATGCTGTTTCTCAACCCATCTGCCAAGCAGACATTTTAAAACTATATGCAGTTAAATTGTTCAAAATAGCAGTGGTGCACTGAATACTTACTCCAAATTGCAGCTCTGCTATGGGAGTGTGCTAGATAAGGAGATGTACTTCCCACATCTCCTTCAGTGAAAGACTTGGCTACCCATGTAAATGTGGGTAGGATGATCAGCAGGCAGCCTCCAGACGTCTGCCAGCTTCTTCAGGTTCTGGCTCAGTTGCAAAGAGTCATCTTGTCTAAAGTCATTCTCTTCCCAGAGTAGCTCACAACCAGTGACTGAGTGAGGCAGAAATATAAATGTCTACTTCTCCTGATACAGCATAACTCTGACATGCTCCAGAGCTCCTGCTGGGTAGGCTGAGGATTTATCAAACTCACCTTCAGTCCGACTTCTTTCTTTGCCCAACCTGTATCCTATTCTTTTCATGAGTGTAATACACTCTTGCACTCTAAACTTTATGCCAATATCCACTTCACAGATATCCAACCTGCGATATGTGGCAGTTCTTAATAATAACACCTTAGATTGTAGCCTCCAGCTATTTAAGCAGAAAGAAAATTCTTTTAAACACCTGCTGGAGGTTATAACCTAAGCTATTATGATTAAGAACTGCCACATATCACAGATTGGGTTCTTGTGAAGTGGATATTGACACAAAGTTTGGAATGCAAGAGTGTATTAACCCATTTAAGCCACGTAGTTTGAGATGTATTTTTAAGGCAGCCCTAGCAAATGAATACGACTGCCAATTGTCTTGATATGGGCTTTTCTTTTTGTCTTTCTTCCATTGTCTGTCTGTCTGTCTATCTGTCTGTCTCTCTCTCTGTCTCTCTCTCTCTCTCTCCCTCTTGCTTTCTCTATTTGGAATTAACAGAATTTACTTTATTCACAGATGCATCCAATTTGTCAATTCTGAACAAAGTTCAGTGACTGCCTTATTAAGCAGTTATCATTATTTTCTCTATTTCTTTTTGAACTCTAATTAGAAGTGTGGATTCTGCTCACCCCTCTAGCCTTTATTTCATAATTTCATTTTTTAAAATATTTTTCAATTTTTAATTCTCTGTGTGCCACATTCTATGGAATGTCTTTAAATGTTTTCCATTTTTAAATTTGCTTTTCTTTGCCAAATTTATGATTTTATTTTAGTACAAATATGTTTCATTTCAGAATATAATTTGTGTCATTTTATATCTGTTTAATTATTTTAATTGCCTTTTAGTTTTTCTTGTATATTTAATTCTCCCATTTATATTTTGAAACATCTTTAAATAGAACATATTAATTTTTATAACATTTGTCTGATATATTCTATTCATTTCTGTGGAGACAGTAATTCTAGGATTGTTCAGTCTCCCTTTTCATTTGCACCATCTTCTCTACAATCATTATAACAGTTTGCTTTTTTGTACTTGCTATGTGAAGAGTAATGCGCAAAAGACAAAATCAGAATGGAAATGGGGGAAGAATGCAAGTGCAGAGAAGGCCGATCCAGGAAGAAAGCGGATCAAATAGCAGAAATAAAATTCTTATTAAACCCCTGCTGGAGGTTACTACCTAAGCTGTTATGGTTAAGAACTGCCACCTATCACAGGTTGGTTTCTTGTGTAGTGCATATTGACACATTAAGAACAATTAATGAAATGAAATGAAACGAAGAGGAATTTTTAGAACTAGCATGCTGGAAAAGCTATGTTAATCTCTTGTTTCCCTATAAGTTTAGAAAAATTAACTTTAAGTATTGTGAGTGCCAAAAAAATGAAATTGTAGCTGAACTATATACAATGAGAACAAGGAGCACAATATTTGTATAAAAGCGCTCAATACAGACATGTGCAGAAAAGGAATGAAAAACATAACCCAACATTTCAAAATGAGTAAAACACAAGAAGAAAGACCTGATATTTCAGACAGTGATGGAAGCAACATATGATGTAGTTTCCCTGCTCCCCTCATACACAAAAAAAACCTTAATTTTTTTCATTTTGATATAACTTTTAATTTGCAGCCATGCCACAGGAATTCACCCAGCAAAATCTAAACTCAGAATATTTAAGTCTCTCAAGTAAAACAGATTACAAGGATGCTAAAAAAAAAATCGTAAGGAAAGAAAAAGACACACAGAGAGAAAGAAACAAAAATGGGAAAATGTAGACTAAAGAAAATTCAGACATTTATCAACCAACGAAAATGACCGGGTGTGTTTGGATGTTGATTCAAACACACTGTTATTAATATTTGTGTAATGGCAATTGGAAATTAGAATATTTACTGGATATTGGATAATATTAAGTAATTATTTACAGTATGATAAAAAGAGCACATCTCTTTCTGGGTCATGCTAAAATTTTATCTTGCTCACTCCACTCTAATATCGGAGTAGCAGCTATAGGAGGATATTGACATAGAAAACTTTTTTATGTGCTGGTAATTTTTAAAACGGTTTATGGCTATATTAGAAATACTTTAAAAATAAAACAAATCATAAAAGCAAACAACACAAATAAAGTGAAGAGAAAAAGCAGTTTATTGATTTTGAATGAGTACAACATTGATTTCTTCCCATATGCTTAATGATTTTAAAGGATGAAAGTCTGACATTTAAAAGTGTATTTTTTATATTGATTCTGTTTTGTTTTGTTTTCCCCTTCATTTGTGTTCAAAGATGTGAATTTATCACCTTGTATTGAGAAAGTATATGTAAAGAATGCCAGTTATAAAAATCAATTATTCAAATGATCACTCTGAATCTTTTCTATTTTACTTGGCGTCTTCCACTTTAGAGAAAGAGCCTTAGACTGTGGATCTGGAATCATTATCCACTTTCTCAGCATGGGAGTAGTTGAAGTCATTTAACATCTCTGAAACTTTTACCTCATCTGTAAAATAGAGATAAAAATACTTGCTTTTTTCATCTTACAAATATGCTTAATATATATTTTGTACTTTGTGATGGATAATTTAATATCAAGGTATAATTATGTCTAGTATGAAAAAGTAGACATGTGGTACCAACAGTATAGTTCCTGGGAATAAATGGAACAGTTAGAACCCGTGAGTAACTAAAATTAGACTGGATAATTGACTGGAAAAAGATATATAAGGAGCAGGAAGCTAGGGGATACAAGGGTTTCTTTCAAATGGACACATTTATAACTTTTCAAATAGAACTGATATTGAAGGACATTAAATTCATTTATAGATCTAAAAATAAAAAGTAAAATAAGGTATTAATATAAATAGATAACATAATGCAAAATATTAAAATTGATTTTAAATTAATATTAATCTGATATTTACTTAATATTAATGCAGTTTAGATTCAGAATTAATGTTTAAATTACTATTCAAACTAATATAATTCTGGTAATTTTGAACAAATTATGTTAAGTTACAATATGTCATAGTGTTTGCCACAGTACTTCACTATAATTGTATCAGGAACATAGACCTGTGTTTTCAGTCAGATTATAGTATATATAATGTAATCATCAATACTACCAGTTATTCAATAGAACAAACATAATATACAACATATAATCTCTTCAGAATTTCATGACTTTTTACTTTATTATTTAGTTTAGCCTACATATATTTGCTTCAAAGTTTCAATATTTAGAATTAGAGATAATCCATAAATCCAAAATAACTAAATTTAGATATTTAAGCAGCATTTACAATAAAAATTATAATGCCATTATAATATTTAAACAAAATAATCAGTTTAAAATATGAAGTTGACAAATTTGAATGTAAGGCATTCTCAGAAAGGAGATCTTTGAAAATAAAGAGTACATGAGGATTAGCATAGAAGACTGTAAAAGTCTCATAATGCATCACATTTTAAAACCTAATATGAGGAAAGTATTGCCATTTATTCTCTTAAATGTAATAAAAATAAATACAACTTCCACCTTGTCTACAGAAAATTTGGAGGTTTTGTAGCTTAGATCTGAATGTATAAAATTGCAGGAAATAAATGTTTATCAAAGGTTTCCCAACTAAGATATGTGGTGTTTTTCTTACTTACATACCCACAGACTTCCGTACTCTTCAGTTACCATCAAACTTCAACAATGTGGGGATTCCACACTATTTCTTACTCACAGTTACTTAGACAAGATAACTTCTCCTATTTGATAAGTAAGTTTCTAATATTTAGAAAACTCTTTCTTTTGATTTGACTTTCTTTTCCCACCAATGATAAAATAAAATTTTTAAAAGGCAGATTAAAAATATTTTTCTGTACTATTTCTTAAATAAAAATTCTTCAGTTTGTCATTAAAAGCAAAAAAAAAAGTTGTTTGATTTAATCATTGGGCAGGTAATGTTACCTTCATGAGTGTCTTTTCCTGTGCTGGAAAGTGTAAGCAACTCTGAAACGTGAGCTCTGAAGGAAGCTAGAAAGCTCTTTTGTCTGAATAAAACATCAGTGAGCAC
Organism: Homo sapiens; assembly: GCF_000001405.40. Classification (NCBI taxonomy): domain Eukaryota; kingdom Metazoa; phylum Chordata; class Mammalia; order Primates; family Hominidae; genus Homo; species Homo sapiens. The sequence goes on from NC_000005.10 coordinate 25,699,261, forward strand.
CTTTGGCAGCTCATGCTTAGGAAAATCTTCTTTTCTTTGATTATCTTCCCATAGTCCACAATTCTACCAGCGAAGAAATCTCCGCTTTCTAGTACCTATGACAGATACAAGCTTTGTTAAGCACATTTGTCCTAGTGTACTGCAGCCTACAATTAGAAAGAGGAATTGGAGAATATGTCAGAGGAAAAATCACAATCAAAACTCATTTTCTAACACGTAATTAGAGCCAAAACATGACTACATTCCAGATTTCCTAAAATCCTATCCCAAATTAGAATGTTTTTAAATGTCAAAGTTTCACTCAAATGTTTTCCCAATTACGCCATTTTTTGATACACCTTCACTAATACTCTTTAATGAGATACGAAGAATTCTTTGAAGATCAGCATTAAAGCATTAAATTGAAGAAGGAAAAAAAAACTTTTGAAGTTTTGCACATATCTGTCATCTTATTTACTATCAGTCATTGCTAGGTCTATGCTTCTGAGTATAAGAAAATGTTTCTCTTCATTAAGAGGAGGTTGTCCTTTAATGAGTACTAATGATTCCACTTTGAAACTAATAGGAAATCCTGAATATATAAACTTATTGACATTAAAAATCAGCAATACTAATACTAACATCAAAGTAATGATATTGTTTAATATATTAATTAAGCAAAATGTAAACAAATTGGCATTCCAGTTATTACCTCATCAAGGTAATTTTTTAAAGTAAGAAAGCAACTTAATTTCATGTGTATTTAACAACTTTAGGTGAGGTAACTTTTACATATAAGTGATTTTTGCAATGATTTGAATATATCTAGATCTATCTACATTTATATATTTATAGAGAGATACAGATATATACATCAGTTTTTCAATTAAAGAGGATATTTAAATGGTTAAATGTAGAAAACAATTGCTCACAATAAAGATTTATGCATTTACTGATTACTACATTTTAATTAAACTGAGCATAATTTATTTAGCACTAGGCATTGCAACATAGCTTACAGCATAAAAGAACAAATAAATATTAATATGTAGCTTGAGAATAAAATATTCCATTCCAAAAAAAAGAGAGAGAAAAAATATCCCAGCACAGTGTTTATAGGTAAAAAATTAAAAGAGATAATAAAAAATTGGTGAATAGACACATACGTAGATTGGTGAATATTTAGAGATGTAAATGTAGACATTTATAGAAATACAGATAAATAAAAATATAAGTATGTAATAGAGAGTTGTAAAGAGATAGTCACACACATACAGATTCTTACATCTTATAAGAATCCTATTCCATTATTTTTAAACAGGTTTGTTGAGATATAATTTATATACTGTATAATTTCTGTATATAAAGTATACATTAATGGTTGACAGTTTATTAATGAATATGTGAAATTATTCCAGTAATCAATTTTAAAACATTTCCATCATTCAAAAACAAACCGATAACCCTGTAACATTCAGCTGTCACCTCCTTCAAGACACTTCTGCCCAGATCTAATCATTAATCTACTTTCTGTATATATAGATTTCCCACTTCTGAACTTTCATATGAATGGAATCATACAGTATGTAAAACTTTTGTTACTAGCTTATTTCACCTAGTGTAATGATTTCAAGATTCATCCATGTTATAGCATGTATCAGCACTTCATTTTTTTTTATGTTTGAATTATATTCCATTAAATGGATACATCACATTTTGTTTATCTATTTCTCCATTGACAGTCATTTGGTTGGCTTCCACATTTAAAAAAAATTGTGGATATATAGTAAGTGTTTTTATTTCCACATTAAAAAATGTTGTGGTTTATAGTAGGTATAAATATTTATGTGCCATATGAGATATTTTGATACAGGCATGCAATATGTCATGAAAAATTGGGTATCCAGCTCCTCAAGCATTTATTCTTTGTGTTACAAACAATCTAATTATACTTTTAGTTATTTTTAAATGTACAATAAAAATATAGAATGCTTCATGAATTGCCTGTCATCCTTGCACAGGGGCTATACTAATCTTCTCTGTGTCATTACAATTTTTGTGTATGTGTGTTGCCAAAGCAAGCAATTTCTACATTTTTGCTATTATGGATAATGCTATTATAAAATTTGCATGCAAGGTTCTGTATATGTAAATATGTGCTTTTTTCTCAGGTATACATCTAGAAGTAAAATTGATGGGTCATAATGGAACTCTATATTTAATAAAATTAAGAACTGTTAAAGTGTTTTCTAAAGCAGCTCTATCATTTTCAAATTCCTTTCAGCAGAATAGGAGGGTTTCATTTTTACACATTATTGCCAACACTTGTTGTTATCTTACTTTTTGATTCTAGTAATCTGAGTGATGTGAAGTGGTATCAAACTGTGAGTTTGATTTTCACTTCCCTGATGAATAATGACTTGGAGAACCTTTTTGAGTACTTACGTTGTTGAGAAAAGAGCTAAAGAGCTCGCTGCCTGATGCCTTAGAAGCAAATACCATGGCACTAGGTTTTGAGAACGAAAAAAAAAAAAAAAGCAAAGCAAAACAAAAAAGCTTTATTTTGTGTCCACCAACAGTGAGATAAAAGGCCAGTTCACATCTGTGTCCCTACCCCTTTCCCCCTGTAAAGTTCCCCGATAGGCACAGTTGTCTCTTCATGCCCCTTCATGGGTTGCATGTGCAAATTTGGGTGGGGGCGTGATATGAAACAGGCAATGGAAATTTAGGCTGTGATGTCAGCAAGTTCGTTCCACACAGACCATAGTTGTCCATATTGGTTCTAACTGGTATCAGCCAGTTTTGTTACCTTATAAGCTAACGGAGTATCAGCAAGCTGTTTCTTTTCATATTTGCTCTTCCTGTAAGCTCAACACTTTCTATTATTCACTGTTTTCTTTAGTTCTTTGGAGCATGGCTACACCTACTGACCATCTGTATATCTCCTTTGAAGAGATGTCTATTCAGATCTTTTGCCTATTTTTTAATTGTGTTGTTTTTATTTTTGAGTTGTATGATTATATATATATATATATATATATATATATGCATACGCATATTAGGATTTCCTTTTCAAACATGTGATTTGTAAATTTTTTTTCCCATTCTCTGGGCAGACTTTTCCCTTTCTTGATGATGTCCTGTGAAGTACAAACATTTTTAATTTTGATTAAGTCCAGTTTATCAATTTTTGTGTGCGTGAGTGACTACTGCTTTTGGTGTCATATCTAAGAATCCTTTGCCAATCAAAGGTCCAAAAGATGGGCCCTTATGTTTTATTCTAAGAATTTTTTAATTTTTGGTTTTACATTTAGGTGTTTAATATATTTTGAGTTAATTTCTTTATATGGTCTAATGTAAGGGTTCAACTTTTTTGTTTGTTTCCTTAGGTCTCTTGCAATTCTACATGAACCAGCTTGTCAATTTCCACAGAAAAGTTGGCTAAGATTCTCATAGGAATTGCAGTAAATCTGGAGGTCAGTTTGAGGAGTATTGCCATCTTAACAACATTAGGTCTTCTCATCCATGAACCTGGGTATTTTTTCATTTACTTAGATTTTCTTTAGTTTTTTGAACAATGCTTTGCAGTTTTTAGAGTAGACACTTTGTTTTTCTGTTACATTTATTCCTGGGTATATAATTTTTTGATGCTATTATAACTGAAACTTTAAAAAATACATTTAAAAATATTCACTGCAAGAGCATAGAAATGTAACTGATTTTTTGATATTGATATTGTATCTTACAACCATGCCAAACTCATTACTTTTAATTTTTTAGTAATTTCATATGATTTTATACATATAATCACATGGTCTGTTAATATAGTTTCAATTCTTCCTTTCTCATCTACTTTTCTTTTTGTTCTTGCCTAACTAGAATCTCTAGCACAATGCTAACTAAAACAGCAAGAATAGACATCCTTGTCTTTTTCTTGACTGTAAGTGGGAAGTATCCTGTCTTTTTCCTGTAAGTATGATGTTAGCTGTGGAGTTTTCATAATTCCCTTCATCAGCTTCAGGGAGTGGAGAGTTCCTTCACATTGTTATTTTTTAGTGCTTTTGTTATTGAAAGTTTCTGGGTTTTGTCAAATGTTTTTTCTGCATTTATTGTGATGATAGCATGATTTTCATTTTTTATTATTTTAGTAAATTGTATTTCAATAATAATTTTTAGATGCAGTCAACCTTCATTTTTAGAGTAAATCCTACTTGATTGGAGTGTATAATTCTTTTTATGTATTTCTGGATTCAGTTTGCTAGTACTTTATGCAGGATTTTTGCATACAGCTTCATAAGGGATATTGGTTTAAAGATTTCCATTTCTGTTGATGATTTGTTTGTATTTCATTTTAGGGTAATATTGGCCTCATTAAATTAGTTGAGAAGTATTCTATTTTGGGAGGTAAGTGGAAGAGAATAATTTGTAAACCATTTTCGTGAACTATCTTTAAATATTTGGAAGACTTGGGTTAGTGAAACATCTAGGAACGGCATTTTCCTTGTGGACAGGTTTTTGAATACGGATTCAGTCTGTTCACTTCTCATAGGTCTATTCAAATTGTGTATTTGTTCTTGGGTCAAATTTGACAGTTTGTCTTTTAGGGATTTGTCCATTATATCTAAATTATCTAGTTTGTTGGCGTACAATTGTTCACAACATTTCTTTTTAATTTTTTTTAAATTGATTATGTCAATAGTAATGGCTCCTCTTTCATTTCTTATTCTAGTTATTTCACTCTTCTCCATTTCTTTCTTGGTAAATTTAAAGTTGTGTCAATGTTATTGATCTTTTCAAAGAACCAGCTTTTGGTTGCATTGATTTTCTTTATTTTATCTTTTCACCTACTTTCTATTTTACTATCTAGCAATTATTATTTATTTTATTCTGCTTGTCTTAGGTTTAGTTTGCTCTTTTGTTGATGGTGTAAGTTGGAAAATTAAGTTTTTGTTTTGAGTTCTTTTTTCTAACTTAACATAGACATTTACCGCTATAATTTTCTCTCTAAACAATGCTTTCACAGCAGTTTGTAAATACCATGTTTTCATTGTTATCCTTCTTAATGTATTATAACTTCCCTTTTAAATTTTATTAATTTTTTGGCTACTTGAGAGTGTGTTGCTTAATATTTATATATTTGTAAGTAAGTACAAATTTTCCTTGTCATTGATTTCTAATTTTCTTTCATTGTGTTGGTGAACATATTTTGTATTATTTCTATCATTTTAAATGTATTCAATTTTTTTATGACATTTAATGTGATGTATCCTGAATAATGCTTCAATTGCACTTGAGAAGAATCTATATTCTGTGTTGCTGGTGGAATGTGCTATGAATATCTGCCAGGCCTAGTAAGTTTATAGTGTTCCAATTCTTCTATTTGATTGTTGAATTTCTGACTACATACTATTTATTATTAAATGTGGAATACAGAAGTCGCCCACTATTATTGTTAAATTATCTAGTTCTCCCTTAATTTCTGTCAGTGTTTAATTTATGCATTTTGGTATTATGTTTTTTGGTGCACATATGTTTTAAACTGTTATACCTTTCTGATGGGTTGATTTATTATTATAAAATATACTCTTTATTTCTAGTAACTCATTTTTATTTTAATGTCTATTTTGTCTGCTATTAGTATAGTCACATCAGCTTTCCTGTGGTTGCTGTTTGCCTGATAAATCTTTTCCATCCTTTTACTTTCAATCTATTTGTTTTCTAATCTAAAATACATCTCCTGTATACAACATAAAGTTGTATCATTTTGTAAAAATTAGGTCTTAAAATCTTTATTTGATTGAAATGTTTAATCTATCAGTAATAATGTTACTGATATAGTTAGACTTCTGTCTACTATTTTATATTTTGTGTTGTATATCTCGTCTTTTTTTCCTCTATTTCACTTTAATGCTTTATTTTCTATTAAATGACTGTGTTTTAATGTGGCATTTTGATTTTATTAATGCTTTCTGCACCATTTTCTAGTTGTGTGTATGTGTGTGTGTATGCGTTTGTGTGTTCACTCTAACATTTATCATACCCACTTTAACTTATTAGGACAATATCAGATTTATACCAGCTTAATTCAGTATTATGTGTAAACATTACTACTATATATCACCTTTATCCCCATTAAATGGAATTATTGTTACATGTAATGCCTTAATTAGTGTTAAAAACCCAACAAGACATTCTTATTGTTATGACTCTATCATCTGTCATCATTTTTTTAACCCATTACAGCTTTGTGCCCACCAATCACTGCTGTGCTGTTATTGACAAATATATTACACATACACTGCATTTTTATGTTTTATATGTCTATTCTAAATGTATATGCAATACATTTTACACATATTATTTTAAACAATGGCTTTTAAAATCAGTTAATATAGGGAAGAATAAAATATGCATTTATCGTCTCCTTTATAATTACATAATTAACTTTATCAGTATTCTGTTTGTTTTTATAGGTTATAATTACCATTTGCAGAACTTGCTTTCAACCTGAAGAATTTTTGATATATGTCTTTAAGGCAGAGCAGTAAGAAAGAGTATGTCTCAGTTTCTCTTTATTGAATCATGTGTTTATTTCACCTTCATTTTTGAAAGAGAGCTTTGATGAGTATAGGACACTTGATTGACAGTTTTTGTTGTTGCTGGCTTTTTTGAGTATTTTGAATATGTTAAAATAGTTTGCCTCCTAGCTTCTGTTAATTTTTCTGAAATGTCAGCTTCTGTCTTACTGGGAGTTTCTTGTAAGTTATATGCCATTTTCTCTTGCTACTTTCAACAGTTTTTTTCTTTTCTTTGACTTTCAGCATTTTTATTATGAAGTGTGTGTTTTTGTCTCTATGTTTACATTTCAAATCTACTGTTACACCCTTTTACTAAATGTTATACATTTCAGTTATTGTATTTTTTAACTACACAATTTCCATTTACTCTTTTTAAAATAAATTATATTTTTATTGAAGTTTTCTGTTTGATGCAACACTGTTATGATATATTTCTTTACTTCCTTAACTGTGCTTTGCTTTAGGTTAATGAGCATATTTATTTATATTGACTACTTTGAAATCTTTTTCTGTTTAATCTGAAATTTAGCTGCTTTCACAAGCAGTTTCTATTGCCTTTTTTTCTGCTGTAGGATAATACTTTATTTATAAATACCTCACAAGCTTTTTTTTGAAATTAGATATTTTAGGCAATATATATAGGATCTTTGCATACTGTCCTGGGAGGCTTGTGATTGTAATTTGCTTGTTTATATCTTTAATGACTAGGTGGAATATTTTTGACTACTCTCCATGCAAAGTGTCAGTCTGTTCCTCATGAAGACACATCTTTGGGTATACCATACTACACCTACAGTGCAGTGGTCATGTAAGGCTCTCTACCACTTTTTCCCTGACCATACACAGCTGTCACGCTCCATTAATTACAGGCTGTTTTTGACACTTATTGTTTTCAATAATGCCCTGAGGCATAAATACCTCTACAAACTAATTTAATCAAATTGTAGATTTCTGGAGAAAATATTTAACAGTTTCTGAAGTAAGTGTTTGAAATTTTCTGACCCCTGAAGTGTTTTCTCAGCTTATTTCCCAGTTCTCCCTGCTAAGTAACAGGAATACAGGCTACATCTTATTTCCATTAGACCCACAAATTTTCTTCAAATTAGTTTTCATCACAACCTCCACTGAATTTTACAGTATGTTTAGGTTTAAAATTTTCCATGCTATGCTGCAAATGAAGGCAGTCCTTTGGAAAGAGATTAAACCATCTGTTTTATTAGGTTACTCTTCCCTCAGGCAGAATCTCTGATCTATGGCTCTGGAGTTTGGGGTTGGAGAAAATATTAAGGTTTCCTCTGAGTGACAGCTCCACTGTAGGTACTGAGTGCTGTGGAAGGGGAAGAGGGTGAGCAGCCTGGGGTCGTCTCTGCTTGCCTCTGCTGTTATACAAACATCATCTCACAAGTTAAGGAAGGTCTACTAGGGCCAGAGTATTCTCAGAGCACCACATCCAATATACTGCCTCTTTTCCTCAAGTAGGGAATGTGTGGAAGAAGGAAAGCCCAACCTCAACTGCATTCACCCAAGGGTTGTCCTCAGCAATAGGTAGCTGGAGACAGGATGAGAAATGTTAAAGTTTTACTTGTTCTTGGAAGAACAGCTTCCATCTGGGAGCCGGGTGAAGAGAAAGCCCTATGTTCTTAGCTGCAGCAATCTGGAGTGGAGTCTCTGCCTCACTGAGTTCAGAGTGAAAAGGGAAGAAGCTATCTTGGTTCAAATACCACAAAATCTCACCTATCTTTACCATTTTTTGTAGGTTTTCTATAATAGGTGCATCTTCATGTGCAGTTTTATCTTAAGCCCATTTCAAATGATTCAAATGATTGGGGTTTTTTTTGATAATTTTCACCAGTTTCACTGAGGGGCAGGTCAGAGGAGTTCCTCACACTGTCCTGCAGAAGTCAGTCTTGATTGCTTCTAAAACTTGACAATGTGTAAAAACTGCATGCAGAGCTTTAAAGATTACTAACGCTTGGCTTACAGACCTAAGTATTCTTATTTAATTTAATTTAATTTATACAGGATGTATTTATACAGGATGTGAACTGAACATTGGGAATATCAAAAACTTTGTGTCATTGTATTTGTGTAACTAAAGTTAAGGTTTGCTGCTCTAGTTTTATAAGAAATATTATCTTTTTTTGTATTACAACTTTACTTTCTAGAAATCCTTTTTTTTTTTTTGAGGCAGAGTTTTGCTCTTGTTGCCCAGGCTGGAGTGCAATGGCGTGATCTCGGCTCACTGCAACCTCCGCCTTCCAGGTTCAAGTGATTCTCTTGCCTCAGCCTCCCAATTAGCTGGGATTACAGGTGTGGGCCATGACGCCTGGCTAACTTTTTGTGTTTTTTTAGTAGAGTTGGGATTTCACCATGTTGGTCAGGATCGTATCGAACTTTTGACCTCAAGTGATCCACCCATTTTGGCCTCCCAAAGTGCTGGGATTACAGGTGTAAGCCACTGGGCCCAGCCCTAGAAATTCTTTGGGAACAATATTTTCACTAGCCCTTTTAGCCAGTCTACTCTTAATAGATTTCTTAGTTGGCTTTCCATTATCTGCCCTTTTGTTTGTATGTCATTAGATTTAAATGTTTATGTTTAAGAAAAATACTCAAGCCATTATTCATAAATCTTCAGTAAAAATAAGTTAACTGTAAACCTAAAAAATGTTAACTGTTTTGAATAACATAGCAAGTAAAAATAACTGACTTTTGGAGTATGAATATAAGACTGGTAAATGTATATATCATTAGAGAAATCAGTGATTTTTGTTTTACCGTGAGTATTCTATATGATATTTTTTCCTCACATTTGGCCAACCTATAATGATTATTTTGGATATAAAGACAATATGATCTTTGTTTTATAAGTAAAATAATTGTATTAGCTAATATAATTTTAATACTATGTTTTACTATTATGACACTTCAAGATGCCTGGCAGATGAGGATATGCATGAACACTTGTTTGATTAGTTTAGGAAGAAAAAAGGGTATAACTAATTTAAAAATAAAACAGATAATCCCAACCTAAAATATTCATGTGAATTATTTATTGTGTCTTACAGAAAGTTTTTGTTATTTAAAAAAAATTAAACTTGACCTTGAAAGAAGAATTCATAAAGTAGTGAAGGACGTTGAAACTGGGAAGGATCTGAGATATTACACTATTTACACAGATAACATATACCTGGCATACTAGACCACTAGATTAGGAAAAACACATTTTGTTTACTCATTGATCATCTTATTGTTGGTTTTCTAAGCCCCAGTCTCCCATAGGGCAGCATGATAAGGCCAGATGTCATTTGATTATATGACAGAGGATATAGGAAGAGTTCTGTACCATAGGAAAACAAAAAAAAAAGCTGTAATTATGAATTTTGGAGCTTATGTAGAAACTGCTTACACAGTATCTGTCAGGAGGAAAGGAGAGTGACCTTTACAACTCTTTGATGTGATCATTTAGGTCTAGGGTTGAAAACAAAAAGAACAAACGATTCTGGGTCTATCACCATTAGAATGTGACCAAATGCTATGGGAAAACATACAACTTCTAACTTCAAAGGAACAATTGCCACCCAACGTTCCTTAACGCAGGTTGCCAGTTTCCTTTTCTCAGAAAGCCCTGATGCTACAAAAACATGAAAACATCCAATTAGCATGGTTTCTTGATAAGCACATATTGAAAATGTCAAATCTTTGAACAAACTGAGATATGTATACATTTATGCACCTAAATTATAAAATGTCTCATGTAATAAGAGGTAATGACTTCATTAGGTGTTAAAAGCAATTCTTTCTTTGAATATTCTTTTTTTCTAGGTAACTCTGACTCATTATGAACTTTACTTATTTTAATTGAAACTAGTAAAATCATTGCTCAAAAGAAAAATGGTTTCTACAATATGTTTAGAAGAATTTTCCAAATATTTTTTAAATTAGAAAAATATTTACCTTATCCTTATTGATTTCACTATTGATGTTTGTGTAATGAAAGTAGATATTTTATAGCAGAATGTTTTAATTCATACATTTTAGAAATACTTGAAAAATTTAACAAAATATGTATTTTATTATATTTGGAAAAAATATATTTAATTTTTTTTTAAAATTTCTTGCTTTGAAAGATGAAAAACTGTTTTGGGGAACTATAGGGATTTGCTTTTACCTGAATTTTTATTTTATACAATTGAGTCTATAATCTACTTGTTTATAACCACTTGAAATATTCCAGTTATTCAGATAAATATACCATACACATTATAATGTTGCTTCTTCAGAAATCTTAAAAATGATAAACCAGATTTTATGCCAATTTGCCTTTATGCAACAAGTTTTTCCGTATTTTAACAGTAAGGCATCCCATGTTTTTAATAACAAAGACCTGGAAACAATTCTTATGAGACTAAGCTAAGGCTGTATACAAGGGAGGAAGCATTTTAGTTGATATATTTCAAAAGATTAAAGAAACACTTAGTAAACCCGGGCATGGTTTTCTTTTACATAAAATGTTATTTATCACATAGAATCATGAATTATTTACAAGCACTGGAGTCACTTGCAACAGGAGTAAACAGAATTGATGATGACCTTCAGTTCACTGTACTGCAGAGAAAGTCATTCTCTCATTAGATTTTCACTGGAGAATAAAAGAAGCCTTTGCCTCATGAAAATTCACTGCCGGCTCCCTCATTCCCTTTCTTTCACCATAGAGTTGAAAATAAAAGTGTTTCTTTATTTTTTTTAAGGTTGCTTCTACATATAATGAAAAAACAACTGCAAATGACTCTAATCCCAGCTGTTAAATGGATCTGACTATGGTCTCTCTGTTGGTACGCCATTTAGAAAGATCCAGATGGGCTCTCGATCGGAAACTAAATGTCAAATAAATGTGTAGACATTTCTGCCATTGTCAGTGAGTCTTTAGGGAGCTATTCATTGACTAGGGTGTTAGGATGGTGGAGAAACAAATTTTCCGAAACAAACTCAAACATTATTACAATGAGTCTTTTTCCTCTCAGGTCTGAGTGACTGTCAGGGACAGGATTTTTTTTTCTACATGATCTGTGAAAATATCATTTAGAATTTACAGTAAGTTATACAAAATAAGTTTCTTATCACTCATTAATTAGATGTTTTAGTGGAAAATTTATGGGCTTCAGCACAGTTACTGAATATGTTTTCTATTTTCCATAAATATTGTAACACTCTAAATGGTTACTATGAAGTTTAACTCAGATTCTACATAAAAATCATGTAAAATAGTTACTGGTGCTTAAGAGGTATATAGTAAATGTCATATCTTAGTTGAATCCCTTCCTGAAATTGGCTCAAATTAAAATATCTAGAAACAGGCTACTTATTGCCTGGAGCTATATGGGCAAGTTCTCTGGAAATATAACAATTAAATAAGAATGCACACACAATATTTGCTGAATTGAGTTAAATTGATTTTATCACTTGTAAATATAGTTCTTAAACAGATACATATGGATTTTTATAATAGATATTGAATAATAGCTAGAAAAAGATAAATTGATTAGTATTTGTGAAAGAAAAGACATAAAAGGATCAAAGAAAAAGGTAAGAATTATGTTAAGTCAGAGGGAGTAAAGGAGAGTTAAAAAGGGACTTAAAACATGAAGATTTTATGACAACCTTATTTTCCCACCTTTTTTTATAACTGGGTATTCCAGTGGGTTTGACTGGGGTGTGCTTCCTGGGTGATATGAACATCAGTTAAAGGTCAAGAAGAAAGATTCCTGGCATCAATGGGTTAGGAGAGAATCACTCAAGTATCACCAAAAATTGTTATCTAACAGTAAAATCCTAGAATAGTTACTTCTGGAAAAGATTTCTCTGGAGTCCTAGTCTCATACAGCAGAATTAGGGGGCAAAAAAGTAATTTTTACTACCAAGATTGTCATTTAAGGATAGTCCATGTATATATAATACCCCAAATATTAATGTATTTGAACACCAAGTACAGTAGAAGGAACCAGCTCTAAAGGCAAGATGTCTGATTATTCATTCATGTAAATAATAGACATACTCAACAGTTTTTTTAATGAATGAAGGTAAAATTTTACTGTATAACTATAATATGTATGAAGATCTAAAACTGGGTAAACTTTATTGAAAGATAATAGCTTAATTTACATTGAAATTGTAGATATTTACTTTCATTAATGTTTTCAAAATGATATGTAGGTAAAAATAAACCATGAACTCTTAATGATTTTGAAAAAAATCGCCTACCATAATTAATAGTGATATATGTTTTGAACTCATATTCTAGTAATCATATCTTTCAGGCAATATTTTTTAAGAAATGTACATATTCTAGCTACCTAATCACATGTAATCCAGTTGCCAACCTACTATAAGTTTTTTTCTCAGTAAGAAATGTGGTAATTTCTTACCTATGCACGTTTTCATATCTCATGTAATTCTGACAAAAATCTTAAATATTGTAGAATGAACTATTCATTTTTCAAATAAAAATGATGAACAAAAGTGCATGAAACAAACTTTATTAAACATTTGTCAGTTAAATTTTTTCTCAGTTCCTTCCTGAAAAAAATTTCAGTTTGAGTGTTTAACTGATACTGTTGAATATATGAAATTCTCCTAAACATGATTATTGGTCCTGGTGTTGGCAACATTAGTATAGTTTCCCATTTCTCATAAACTGATAAAATATATAAACTCTGCATTAGTTACCATTTAATAAATGTTCATTTTTAATAATTACCCATGGCTATTAAGTAAGATTTTTCCTTTTTATTTTTTCCCTCATTCCTTTTCACAAGCCACATAGAGCAAGACTGTAGTTAGTCGTGAAAGAGATAAAGAATGTGATCAAAGAAAGATTTGCAGCCCAGCGGATGTCAGCAAACTTAGGAGAGATTTGCACCTGAGTGTGAATATAGTAGCTTTCAAGAAAATAGAGGATCAAATTTTTTATTTATTTTGGACTGAACTTTCTAATTCCTGAAACCCTAAAGTGACTATTGTATTAGTTGGCAGAGATAAAGCTGTACGTCACTGCCTAATTGACCTTTGAGAATTAGGAGAAAGAAACCTATTCAGTGATTCTTCACCACTGAATTTCTTCTATATAATAAGCCACTGATACATTTTTTTCAAAATTAACAAAATTAACAAAAGTAATTTTACATTCATAAGAATTCCATACTATAAATCTGAGTTGAAACATTTAAATTTTTCTCAAAAATATATTCTCCTCAAAAGAAATACAGAGTTCTTTATCCCATCTTTTACTCACACCATCCCTTTTTGTTGCTGTTGTTGTGAGTGGCTTGTAAAACATATAAAAATCTGTACAAATTTAATGTACCCATCTTGATAAATTTAAAGATATACAGACCCATGAACCCATCCATAAACTATGCCATAAAACATGATCATCATCTCAAAAAGATTCCTCTCTGTTTTTGTTTGTTTGTTTTTTTGATAGGAACATTTAACAAAAGTACTACAATGATAACAGTGTTTTAAACATACAATACAGCAGGAGTCCCCGACGCCTGGGCTGCAGACCCGTGCTGGTCCGGCGAGCAACACTTTATCTGTATTTACAGCAGGTCTCAATGCTCACATTACTGCCTGAGCTCTGCCACCTGTTGATCAGCGGAGACATTAGATTCTCATAGGAGTGTGAACTGCATTGTGAATTGCACAAGCAAGGGATGTGGGTTGTGGTTTCTTATGAGAATCTGTTGCCTGATGATCTGAGGTGGAACAGTTCCATCTCAAAACCATCCCCAGTACACCCCTTGTCAGTGGGAAAAAAGTCCTCCACGAAACTAGTTTCTGGTTCCAAAAAGACTGGGGACTGCTACAATACAACATAAGTAACCATACATGCTATGCTGTATAGGATTTATTATGTTAAATAACTGAAACTATGTACTGATTGAAAATACCTCCCTGATTCCTCCTCTTCTGAGCTCCTGACAACTAGTATTCTACTCGCTGCTTCCATGAGTTTGACTCTTTTAGATACCTAAGTAGTATCATGCAGTATTTGTTCTTCTGTTTCTGGCTTTTTCAGTTAGAATAATGTCCTCCAAATTCATCCACACAGTAGCAAATGGCAGAATTTCTTTTTTAAGGCTGAATACTATTTTACAGTATGTATATAACATTTTTCTTTATCCATTTTTTCTGTTAATGGACATGTAGTAAGTTTCTTTTTATGCTATTGTAAATAATGCTTTGATAAATATTGGAATGCAAATATCTCTGACATCTCAATGTCAATTCTTTTGGGTATAAATCCATCAGTATTTTGGATCATACAGTTGTTCCAACTTTAATTTATTGAGAAGCCTCAATTCTGTTTTTTTAGTGGTTCTATCAATTTACATTCCCACCAGCAATGTAAAATGGTTCTCTTTTCTACACATGTATACCAATACTTGCTCTCTTTTGTCCTTTTGTTCATAGACATCCTAATGGGTGTAAAGTGATCTCTCAGTGGGGTTTTGATTTGCATTATCTTGAAGATTAGAGATGTTGAGCTCCTTTTAATGTATTAGCTGGCCACCTGCATATCTTTGGAGAAATGTCTGTTCAAGCCCTTTGTCCACTTTTTATGTTTTTTGTTTTTAATTTTTTTCTATTGAGTTGTACCAGTTATTTATGTATTTTAGAGATTAATCCTTTAGCAGATATATAATTTATGAATATTTTATCTCATTTCATAGGTTGCTTTTTCACTTTCCTGATTAAGAAATCATTTCCAGCACCAGAAGTCAATTTTTTTTTTCAGTGTCTTCCTCCAGGAGTTTTACATTTCCGAGCCTTATATTTATGTCTTTAATTCATTTTCAGTTAATGTTTTGTACAGTTTAAAAGAGTAGTCCGATTTTATTCCGTCACATGTGGATTTTCTGTTTTCTTAATATCATTAATTGAAGAGACTATAATTTCCCCATTATATATTCTTTTCCCTGGTTGTTAAAGATCTCTTTAGAGTAAACCCATGGGTGTAATTCTGGACTCTCTATTCTATTCCATTAGTCAATGTGTGTTTATATGTCAGTACTATACTATTTTGATTGCTACAGCTTTATAATATATTTTGAAATTAACAAGTATGATACTTTCCACTTTGTTCTTCTTGCTTAAGCTTCCTTTGGCTACTTGGGGTCTTTTGTGGTTTCACATGAATTTTAGGCTTTTTTTTCTATTTCTGTAAAAAAATACATCATTAAGAATTTGGTAAGGATTACATTTAACCTGTGGGTCACTTAGAGTATGAATATTTTAATAATATCAAATTTTCCCATTTATGAACACGTCCTTCCATTTATTTGCGTCTTTTTCACTTTCTTTCATGAATATTTTATAGATTTTAGTAACAAGTCTTTTAGCTCCTCTAAATCGAGTTAGATACATATATTTCATCAAGGAAAGACAGATCACTTTTATGCATAAAACAAAGCAAATCATGTATGTTCTCTTCTTTGAAAGTATTAGACATTTATGATCACTTTCTTCCTGTTCTAAAATTCTGGTGTTTTTACTTGTTTTTGTTTGTTCATTTTAGTTTTACTTTGTCACTTGATAAATGTTTTTATGAAAAACTTAAAAGTGATTTCAAAATGTCAAATTGTTTTTATCTGATAATGTTTTGGGTAAAGAGATATCACATTTTATTCTATGCACTACAAAAATTGTGAAAGAAAAAAATCAATCAATTGTTCTTTTGCTGGACTTCACACAGGCTACTGCATTATATTTGTACTTTCCAAACTCATTAATTAATTTAAATATAATTAATTCTGAATGTGTAAGTTATTTTTTGTTTATTTCATTTTCTAGAGGCAAAAAATAAGTTATATTTTTTGTTTGTTTGTTTTTGAGACAGTCTCACTCTGTTGCCCAAACTAGAGTGAAGTGGAGAGATCTCGGCTCACTGCAACCTCTGCCTCACAAGTTCAAGCAATTCCTATGCTTCAGCCTCCTGAGTATCTAGGACTACAGACATGTACCATAACACCAGGCTAATTTTTATATTTTTAGTAGAGATGGGGGGGTTTCACTATGTCAGCCAGGCTGGTCTCGAACTCCTGGCCTCACACTATCTGCCCGCCTCAGCCTCCCTAAAGTTCTGGGATTACAGGCATGAACCACTATGCCTTGCCATCAGTTAGGTCTTAAATATCAAGAAGTAACATCTAAATTACCGTATAATTTATAGTATGACTAAGAAGCATTTCCACAGAAAGTACATCTTTTATAGGAGAGCTACAGTGTCGCATATTTGACATCTTGAATTTATCCTAAAGTTATACTAAAGAATTATTTATGAGACTTTTTATGTGTCAGGTTCTGTGTTAATCTCTTGGAAATCATTATAGGATAAAACATGATTTCTACACTCAAACCACCAATTTTTTAATAAAACTATAAATTTCTCTAAATTGACTATGATGTAACACACACAGTGGTTTATCAGTGTTCATTATGTTCCTGTAAATAGAAATGGCTTAGAAATTGCTTCTAGGCAAAAATTTGCTATTTCCCCCCTACATGCTTTTGTATCTAACAAGAATACCATTATTGGTCTGACCAAGTTGCTGTTACAAGGCTGTATTTTGATGAAATAGCCTGGAAAGTTTTCTAAACTCTCTAAAGTTTTAGCCATGTTTGCGGGTTTTTTAATTTGTTGCTTTATTTATTTGTTGTTTTGTTTTATGTGCATTCTATTATGTCCTTTGTATGTTCATTATTATTCTATTAATTTTATACTTCCTTAAGGCATTGATGGACTTTTCTGCCTTTCTATTAGTACTTTTGAGTTTCTGAGTTACACCATTTTATATGTATTTCTTCTGTGTGTTAAATAAACTCAAATTCAATCCTAATCAATGTTTTATGTGGCTCCCAAATGCATAAATGATGTCTACTAAGCCACAGCCAGAAAAATTTTTGAATTCTTTAATATATTTTGTGTGTATATTGGGTGGGTAAAAGGTATTTCCTGTTCAAAGGTAAATGAAACAGGAGGCAAACAATATACATATATTAAGATTTAGTATATTTCCTCTGGCACCCATGACTCACTGCCATTGTTTCCATGTTAGGTTTTGAGTAATAACTATAGCTATATCATAATGTTGGAGGAAATAATGATTTTTTTAAGAGAATAACAATAACCAAGAAAAAAGGCATATATATCGGTATGTACTTTTAAATATTCTACTCTCAGAAAAACAAACTTGCTTTACATTGTAAATCATTACATGTAAAAAATATTTTTAAAATTATAATTGAAAAAACAAAACAAACAAAAATATGCATGCACCACACTCAGATATAAAATTAACATTGTAATATATGTCTCTTTGGCTATTCATACAGCATTTTATCTTTATAGACTGGCTATTTCTATGTTTTTCAAATGATCTCATATCCAGAATGATATTGTTTGGATAGAGTGAATGTTTTAATAAAAGTGTATGTGCTGTTATTTTATAAGTTACATGATAATAAAGGTAAAATACATTTAAGAGAATGTATCTTTACACAAATTATAAAATGCCTTTGAAAGAAAGATTGAACTAAAGACAGACAAATGAAATAACTAAATAGCCTGTCTTTTACATTAATGTGTGGTTTCCAGCTACATAAGAGCTGAGTAATATTAGCAGTTGTTTAATATATTTAACTTTATATAAATGTATTTAATACATTCTAGGTACTTAAAGTATAAAATGGGGAGAATAATAACACACGGTGATTTGAGAGTCATATGATACCCTATGCTCACAATATATAGCACAGTTACCAGCATATCATAAAGTCAATACATTTTATTATTATTATTGTAATCATTTTTGCATAAGCAAGTGGTAACATAAGTATTTTGAAAAATAAGATTTAGAATTAAAATATATATTGTCTTGCCTATTAATTACTCTAGGTATAAAGTGATTTGTATATTACACGATGTGATATAAACTACAGTGGAAAGCATATATGTTTCTACTGTAATTTCTTACAGGGAAAGAACAGATAAATTGCACCAACTCAAATATAAACATGTAATAATTGTTACTTCTTAAAAATTCCAGGTAATTTTTCTGATTCTTATTTGTTTCTAAAATTAATTTTAGGTTTAATTTTCACTTCTGTAGTTGTGAATCTCAAATTTTGCTAAAGGCAAGCATTAGAGTATTTGGATGTAAAAGCCATTCAACAATTCAAACAAAATTTCAAAAGTTTACCAATATCCTGTCTATTATGGAAAATCTTAATATTATTCTAGTAAGATATCTTGTCCTATTGTTTGCACATCTAAATAGATGAAAATCAAAAATGTGGTTTGATGAGAGACTGTCTCCTTTTATACTAACATTTGCCAATAAAAGTATACTTGGAAGTAGGTGATTTGATCTTTATATTGAGACTCAATTCTACACATTTTCAAATAATGCTTCCTATGACATTGAGACAGTTTAAAAACATAAGGAGCATTTTAAAGAATTCTCTAAACTGAGTTAGTTACAGGTCAACTGCCTAAATAAAATTTGTGAATTAAATAAAGCATACCTCTTCTGTAGTCACTAAAGCCCGAATAAGTAGCATATTCAATGTAAATGAACCAAAATTAAGTAATTTTAAAGTAAACTTATAAGGCTTCTGTTTTAAAATGGATGCTAATTTGCCTTAATGAGTTTATTTCTGTATTAATCACCTAAATACATAAAAAGAAAATTGTTCACATACCAGAACTTAGACTATTTATGTTTCATAAAAAGAAAATTAAGCAAAAACAAATATATTGTTATAACTGATAACATTTTTTTCTTGCTCATTTAACATCCCTCAAATTGAGCAGTCTAATTATTTGATGAGACACATCTCCATTACCTAGTCTTATCCTCTAATTATGAAATGTTTGCATTACTACTGGTAATGGAGGAATTAGTTTACCCAAGCAAGAAATCAATAATTCAAACTTATAATTAAATTTTATCATAATGAAAAAGTGCATACATTATTGTGGATTGAATCTGCTATTCTTAGTATTTATTTTTTACTCCATGCATAATTAAATATGCAAATTAAAATATCTAGTATCAATGATGTAGTTTTCTTACAATCAATAATGAAAGACAAAAAGCTCTATAGTTTTATACATATACGATAAATATGAAGTTAATAAACACTCCCAAATATTTATCAAACATGTCATTCACTGCAAATCAATGCCAGCTAAGAAATGAGTTATCCATTTTCTTTACAGATGTCTTTGATATATTAAGTGTCAATTTTCTTAACCATAATTATGTTTATGCATCACAAGCAGGTCTTCTGGAAGCCAGGGTAAAAATGAATATCTAGAGATTCTTGTCCCAAATTCATTAAAATTTCAAGGAAGTGACAAGCAGAGCATTAAACTAAGAGTAGGGTTTATCTGAATGTGGGGTACTGTGATAACTGCAAATATTTTTAAAAGATTTATGTCAAGTCTACATAATCTCCTCCAGAAAACAGAAAAGAGGGAACCCTTCTCTATTTGTTAAATGAAGCTAGTACTACAGTGATATCAGAATCACACAGAGTAAAAGATGAAAAGCATAAATGAATATTTCTCCTGAAAATAGACATGCAATCCTTATCAAAATATTAACAAATGGTACTCAGTAATATATAACACTATATACTATAAGCAATATGGATTTATACCAGAGATACAAAGCTAATTTATAGTTAGGAAACAATCAATACACTGCATGATATAAGGAGGCTAAAAATGAAAAGTAATATAAAGTAATGCAGAACAAAACATTTGGGGCCAGATACAGTGGCTCACACCTGTAATCCCAGCACTTTGGGAGGCCAAGGGGGTTGGATCACAAGGTCAGGATTTCAAGACCAGCCTTGCCAACATGGTGAAACCCCGTCTTTACTAAAAATGCAAAAATTAGCTGGGTGTGGTGGGGCGCGCCTGTAGTCCCAGCTACTCGGGAGGCTGACACAAGAGAATTGCTTGAACTCGGGAGGCAGAGGTTGCAGTGAGCCGAGATCGTGCCACTGCACTCCAGCCCGGGCGACAGAGCAAGACTCTGTCTCAAATAAATAAATAAATAAAATAAAATAATTTGATAAAAGTAAACACTTGCTGATGAAAGAATAACAAAAATTTTACAAGAAAACAACAACTAATACTATATTTAATAAGAGACTAGATGCTTTCATTCTTACATTGCAACAAGGCAATGATGTTTACTATGAACACTCTTATTTAACATAATGCTTAAAACTTCCAAATTTTTCTGAATCAGAAAGTATAGTAACAATTTAACTCTCATCTGCCTCCAACTCTCCTTATTTGCACATAACATAATTGTGTACATAGAAAATCTCAAGAAACCGACAAACATAATTTTTCTAATAACTAGGGTTATTAGATATTATATTCCTAACACAATGTTTCTAACTCCTGTAACTAATAACTGTGACACCTAGCTTGCAAAATATGCAGCAAATATACATTATTCAATTGTATTTGAGTATGTAAAAATAAATGTGGACACAGAAATTAAAAAAAATTTTTAATTGCTCAAAAGGCACATGTTGACTGTAATCTAACAAGAATGTGTAGAGGACTCATGCTTAATAAAACAAAACACCAATGAAAGAAACCAAAGAAATATAAATAAATGAAGAGACACAGAGTGTTAATATTTGGAAAATTCAAAATAGTAAAGTATCAATTCTCCCCCAATTGATAAATGAGTTTAATGAAATTGCTATCAGAATACTAGCAAGATTTATTGTAATTATAGATAAGACTATTTTAAAAGTATATAGAACAACAAAAGATCAAGAAAAGAAATAAAATTTTAAAAAGTTGGGAAAGAGAAATAAAGTGAGAAGAATTAGTGTCTTTGATTTCAAGACCCATTTTATGAATAAAATTATCAAGATTGTGTGGTATTGATGAAGCATAGGTATATAAAACAATGGAACAAATAGATAACCTACAAATAGACACACTCAGAGTAAGTCTCACGATGTTCACAAAAACTACTTCAAAATGCAACATCAATTTTAGTGAAAACTTAAAAGTATAAAATATTACAAATAAAAATAAAATACAAAAGAAAATGTTTCAGATTTAGGATAAGGGTAAGCAAAGACTTGTTAAACTTAACAACAAATGTAAATCTATGAAATAAAAATAGCTGTGAATGGCATTTCATCAAAATTTAGAAAAAAAAAAATAGAAGAAAATGTAGTGCTGCAAAAGGCCCTGTTAAGAGGTTGAAATGACAAGCTACAGATTTGGAGAAAATATTTACAAACCACATGTTTAAAAATATTAACATCTAGACAGTGTTAAGAACTTTGATTACACACCAGTAAAAGCTCCTGATTACTTAACTGGCAAAATATACAACAAAGCATTTAATCAGAAAGGATATAGATGATAAATAAGTCCATGAACAGTGTTCAAAATTATTACACATTAGGGAAATACAAATGAAACCACACATACTCATATGTCTATATATCTATCTGAATGTCCAAGTAAGAAATAGATTGAATACCAAATAGTGGCAAGAATACAGAAAAATCGAGTAATTAGAGTGTCAGTAGAACAGTAAAATTGTCAGTAAAAAAATTAAACAGAAAACTACCATAGGATCCAGCAATTGCACTTCTGAACACTTACTTCAACATAAGAAAAATTTAAATTCATACAAAAACTTATATACAAACATGAATAGCAGCTTTATTGATAAAGCCTAAAACTGGAATCAATTCAGATATTCTTTCTTTCTTTCTTTCTTTCTTTCTTTTGAGACAGAGTCTCGCTCTGTCGCCCAGGCTGGAGTGCAGTGGCGCAATCACAGCTCACTGCAAGCTCCACCTCCCAGGTTCACGCCATTCTCTTGCCTCAGCCGCCCGAGTAGCTGGGACTACAGGCGCCCGCCACCACACCTGGCTAATTTTTTTTGTATTTTCAATAGAGACGGTGTTTCACCGTATTAGCCAGGATGGTCTCGATCTCCTGACCTCGTGATCTTCCAGCCTCGGCCTCCTAAAGTGCTGGGATTACAGGCGTGAGCCACCATGCTTGGCCAATTCAGATATTCTTAAACAGTGAATAAAGTATAATACATTCTTATAATGGAATACCATTCAGCAATAAAAAGGAACAAATTGATATATCCATCTCTTCAGAGAATTATGCAAAGGGAAAAAGTCAATCATAAAAGGTTACATACTTGATAAGGTTTGGCTCTCTTTCCTCACCCAAACCACATGTCCAGTTATAATCCCCAGTATTGGAAGAGGGGTCTGGTGGGAGGTGATTGGGTCATGAGGCCCAATATCCCCCTTGCTGTTCTCATGATAGTGAGTTCCCATGAGATATGGTGTAAAAGTGTGTATCACCTCCCTCTTCACTCTCTTCCTCCTTCTCCAGCTATGCAGGATGTGTCTGCATCCCCTTCACCTGTTATGATTGTAAGTTTCCAGAGGCCTTCCCTGCCATGCTTCCTGTACAGCCTGCAGAACCATGAGCCAGGTACATCTCTTTTCTTTATAAATTACTCAGTCTCAGATAGTCCTTTATAGCAATGCAAGAATGAACTCATACAATACTACTATATGATTCTATTTTTATAACATTCTTAAGAAAAAAAATTCTGCCTTGATTGTATCAATGGCAGCATTCTGATTGTGATATTGTTCTGTAAGATCCTACCATTGGGGTAAACAGTAAAAAACCCAAATAATCTCTGTTATTTGCATAACCACATACAATTCTATAATTAATTTAATTTATTTTTAAGAAAGGAAACTAAAAAGGACATTTTACTTATGAAAATAGACTTGAAAAATGAAATAAATTATTAGTCAATATTATTCCAGTCCATATACATTTCTAATAATGCATAAATCAGAATAAAATTGTTCAAAGAAAGAGCAATTCAATATTAGATAATATGTTAATGAAATTTAACTTAAAAATGAGTAAATTAAAAATTTGGAAGATTATTTTAATATTTGCAGAAAAAATAAAATTTCCTTCTGTTCTAGTTCAGAAATTAGTCCAAAACAAACACTTGCACACAGACACATATTAATAAGAAGGAAATAAAAGGTAACGTTTAGCAACTTAGAAGCAGGAAAAGACTCCCTAAATTTTTTTAAGATGGATAAAAATCTACAGCAAACATATGAAAAAGAGAAAAACAAAAGATAATCAGACCAAGTATTCTTGCTACATTTTATTACTGCAGTAGAAGAACTGATAACATCTACCATAATATAAAGTGAAATAAGAAGTATTTTAAAAGAATAAATAAACCTGCAACTATTAGTAGATGATATGATTATCTATATAGAAAAAATACTGAGAAATTATAGAAACTGA
This sequence comes from Homo sapiens, assembly GCF_000001405.40. NCBI lineage: Eukaryota > Metazoa > Chordata > Mammalia > Primates > Hominidae > Homo > Homo sapiens. The sequence continues at coordinate 25,723,246 of NC_000005.10, forward strand.
TTAGAAACTTTATCAGCTGTTGCTGCATACAGTATCAGAATATAATCTCTATTAGCAATAACCAACTGAACTACATCAAAAATAAGATAACCACGACAAGAGTATCACTTCTTGCAAGTTTGAACAAATTAATTTAGTAAACAAAATTAGACACTCTATAGATAAAAATATTTAACTCTATAAAATAGATTAAATTAAGGACTAAACATTGCATATTTTGGGATGAGTGAAACTATGCTATAAAATATCAGAATTTGCACGGGCATAGGTCACTAAATCAGCAAAATATAAATAAAAATTCTGCTTTTTTTTTTTAAAACTCAATAAACTCAATACATTTATTCTAAAACTTATAAGGAGTCTGAGTCTCCTGACAAGGTCCTACCCCATGAACAGGCAAGAGTGAAAAAATTGTGTACTGCAATATTTAAGGAGAGAAAAGTCAGCTTTTTAACAAGTAAGATTATTTACTAAGGAAACAAAATTATATGTGGGCTAAGAACATCCTTATTCATTAACCCAGGGGCAGGGGATATAGAATTTACAAGGAATGTGACAGTACAGGTGAAAATTGGCTGCTAGGCTTCTTTTGACAATGAAAATGCTCTTTTGCATGAGTGTTGATACCTGAAAGTCTTTTTTTTTTTTTGCTGCTAAATTTAACTTTTTTAATAATGAGAATTTATGATTTAAAGTAACAAAAGGAGAGCCTCAAACTCTTTCTAATGCAAACTTCTCAAATGGTATACATGAGGAAACAGACAGGTAGGGAATGTAAGAGATTGTCTCAGGGGCATTAAAATAAATTGTAACAGATTGACAGATCTGAGATTGGACATCCCCTGATAGGTATCTCCTGATATCTATTTCTCTTTTATTTCTACCAAATCAAATGATGTGTGTGGGTGTGTGTTTGTGTGTGTTTGTTTTCATTTGTGACCATATTTCTACCGTTGCATTTAGTCTAAATAACTTATTCTCAGCTGGAAGGCATATTAGCAATTCTGGGAATCATTTTTTTCTAACTACAGATTTATCTGCCACCACTACTTCTCTCTGACCACCACCACATGGTCCGATTCAATGATACATCAGAGTCTGTGCATAATCCTGATAGACAATTTTATTGTCTGTCACAATTAAATGAGGTAATGAGGTAAAAATTGTGATCACATTTATTAAGGAAGAATCGGACAACTCTTCACAAATAACCGCTGTTAACTTTTGAAGGTATAAAAGTCAATTTTATTCTCATTAATTTGATCATTGATTGTTTCATTCAACTTTTGTTGACTTCCTGTTACTATGTCTGGTGTTGGGCCTACAAAGGTGATAGATAGGATTCAGGGAAAAGAGTAGAACACTGAAAAGAGCCAAAACCAACCATGAGGCTACTCCTAATACTGAATTTGATGCGAACTGAGCAATTACTTTTTCTAAGTATGTTTCCTTTTGCTATTGTAACTAATTACAAGTTTAGTGGCCTAAAACAACATAAAATTATTCTTTTATAGTTTTGTATGTTAGGAGTTTGACAAGAATGTCACTGGACTAAAATCAAGATGTTGGCAATAATTTCTGTACTGGGGAATATTCTTCTTAAACTGAATTACTACTTCCAGCATATTACAAGTCTGTATGTATTAAAATAAAGACACATTTGTGTGAGACAGGCAGAATACTAGATTTACGTTATATAATCACAATTAAGGCAAACATTTTAAAAATATATTTAACATATGATTCATAGTTTTAGTAGTATACCAATAAGCTATTAGTCATTTTTGGAATGAGGACTTGGGACCAAAAAAAAAGTAAAATTAATACAGACTTTCAAACTATAAAGAATGTTTACACAGTGATAATTACATGTAAACTTGGAGAAATGGCAATAATTTTAACCTCTATTTATCACACAAGGACAAACATTTTCTTAAATGAAACATTTACAGAGAACCAACAGTCATTGTTTTTTGACACTGTTGCTATTTTTTCTCAAAAACTAGATTATAGAATTAGATGCAAACTTTTATCAAAATATTGTATTTTTTCAACGACCTTGTTTCAAATAATACAAATGAAGCCTATTAAAATCCTGGAACCCATTATTTTTCTTTCTCTATCACCAGACACAAACAAACAACCATTTATCCTTGTGTCCCACTTCTGAAAGTAAACTTAACAGGTGTCAATATTGGGTAACATAGTCAACATTTCTTCCCTGGAGAAATAGAACCTAGAGAAAATACTATCTTGGGATTCCCCATGTTACAAGAGCTCCGAAATGAGATTTTAGAGTTTCTACTCAAACATATGAACCAAATCTATTTAAACAGTTGAAGAAAAATTTCAACACTGAGCATGGTTAAAATTATATGCAAATGAAAAGAAGCTCTAAAGAAATAAGAATGGTAAAAGATGCAGAAGAACACTTTTTAAAAAGTATAATTTGAATAGTTAAAAGCACCTGAAAATAAATTTTATTAATGAAAGAATATTAGAATACTACATAAAATAAACAGGGAATAAAACATATGCTTTGACATCAAAGAAAATTTATAAGAAAAATTATTTAGTAGCAAGATCAAAAATAAAGTTGAGCAAGTCTAACAACAGTTAGGACAAAAAGACTGCCAGAGCATGTGATGCTAGACTGAAGTTACCAATAAATGGCAAAATAGGTGAAAGGAAGTTAAATCACCAAATAGTATCCCTGAGAAATATCATGAACAAGTTGTGAAGAAAAATCATGTCACCTACAAGGCAGTGAGAATTAGAATGGCATTTGGCCACTCACTATTATATGGAATGCTCAAAAGCAATACTTTCAGGTTAAGGAGAAATCACTTTAAGTAATGAATTCTACAATGGGCAATTGCGTAAAATTAATACATAAGGTAAGAATAAATAAGTGACTGGCAGAAAGGTCTTCTCATGATTATGGTGAATATAAATTAAAACAAAAAAAAAAGCAAGAGTAAAAAAGTAGAGAGCTATAATAACTATAAATTCAATTAGACCTGTATTAGTCTGTTCTTATGCTGCTGATAAAGACATAGCAGAGCCTGGGCAATTTACAAAAGAAAGAGGTTTAATTGGACTTACTTCCACATAGCTGGGGAAGCCTCACAATCATGGCAGAAGGCAAAGAGGAGCTAGTCCCATCTTACATGGATGGCAGAATGAGGAAGACGCAAAAGTGGAAACCCCTGATAAAACCATCAGATCTCGTGAGACTTATTCATTACTATGAGGACAGTATGGCGGAAACCGCCCAAATGATTCAATTATCTCCCACCGTGTCCCTCCCACAATATGTGGGAATTATGGGAGTACAGTTAAAGATGAGATTTGAGTAAGGACACAGAGCCAAAAAATATCATTCTGCCCCTGGCCCCTGCCATATCTCATGTCCTCACATTTCAAAACCATTGTGCCTTCCCAACAGTCCCCCAAAGTCTTAACTCATTTCAGCATTAACTCAAAAGTCCACAGCCCAAAGTCTCATCTGAGACAAGGCAAGTCCCTTCTGCCTACCAGCCTGCAAAATCAAAAGCAAGCTAGTTATTTCCTAGATACAATGGGGGTACAGATATTAGGGAAATGCAACCACTTTAAATGGGAGAAATCGTCCAAAACAAAGGGATGACAGGGCCCATGCAAGTCCGAAATCCAGTGGGGAAGTCAAATCTTAAGGATCCAAAATGATGTCCTTTGACTCCGTGTCTCATATTCAGGTCATGCTGATGCAAGAGGGGGGTTCCTATGCTTTTGGGCAGCTCTGCCCCTGTGATTTTCAGGTATAGCCTCTCTCCTGGCTGCTTTCATGGTCTGGTGTTGCGTGTCTGTGGCTTTTCCAGGCACACGGTGCAAGCTGTTGGTGGATCTACCATTCTGGGGTCTGAAGGATGGTGGCCCTCTTCTCACAGCTCCACTAGGCAGTGACCCAATAGGGACTCTGTGTGGAGGCTCCAAGCTCACATTTCCCTTCTGCACTGCCCTAGCAGAGGTTCTCCATGATCATCCTGCCCCTGAGCAAACTTCTCCCCGGGCATCCGGGTGTTTTCATACATCTTCGGAAATCTAGGCGGACGGTCCCAAACCTCAATGCTTGACATCTGTGTACCCTCAGGGTTGACACCACATGGAAGCTGCCAGGGCTTGGGGCTTGCACCATCTGAAGCCACCATCTGAGCTCTGCACTGGCCCCTTTGAGCCATGGCTGGAGCGGCTGGGACACAGCGCACCAAGTCCTTAGACAGCACACAGCTCAGGGACCCTGGGCCTGGCCCATGAAACCACTTTTTTCTCGTAGACCTCTGGGCCTGTGATGGGAGGGGCTGCTGTGAGGACCTCTGACATGCCCTGGAGACATTTTCTCCACTGTCTTGGGGATTAACGTTGGGCTCCTCGTTACTTGTACAAATTTCTGCAGCAGGCTTGAATTTCTCCTCAGAAGATGGGATTTTCTTTTTTATTGCATTGTCAGGCTGGAAATTTTTCAAGCTTTTATGCTCCGTTTCCTTTTTGAAACTGAATGCTTTTAACAACACCCAAGTCACCTCTTGAATGCTTTGCTGCTTAGAAATTTCTTCGCCAGATACTCTAAATCATCTCTCTCAAGTTCAGAGTTCCACAAATCTCAAGGGTGGAGGAAAAATGCCACCAGTCTCTTTGCTAAAACATGACAAGAGGCACCTTTGCTCCAGTTCACAACAAGTTCCTCATCTCCATCTGAGACCTGAAGGCAAGGAGGAGCAAGTCCCGTCTTACAAGGATGGCAGCAGGCAAAGACAGAATGAAGAAGATGCAAAAGCAGAAACCCTTGATAAAACCATAAGATTTTGTGAGACTGATTCACTACCATGAGAACAGTATGGGAGAAACTGCCCCCATGATTCAATTATCTCCCACTGGGTCCCTCCCACAACATGTTAGAATTATGGGAGTAAAATTTAAGATGAGATTTGGGTGGGGACACAGAGCCAAATCATATCATGACCCAAACTAAGGGTATAATTGTCTTTAAATAACTGACAAAAATAACATAAAAATATATAAGATTTTTTAAAAATCAAAACTAAAAGGTAACATGGATTTCATAAATTTCAATACAGAAATATAAATATCACATAATTTCCTATTAATGCTATGAAGACCTAAACTTCACATAGCTGTGAGAAGTAAACAGACCTCTGGAGTAATGACTCTGGGTGCACAAAGGGTGTTTGCATGTATTTGTGGTGGATGATATGGTCCTGGTGTTAGTGTTGGTGATAGTAAGGAGAATTTGACTAATCAGACTGTTTTGACAATGTCAATAGAAATTGAGCAAATTTAATACACAAGATTAAAAAGCTTAAATCAAATAGTTTATATCCAAGGAATTTTTACCGAACCACATAGGCAAAAAGGAACTCATATATTCAAAAACTCAGGATGTATGGTACCAGTGAATGTTTCTTTAAAACCAAACTCATATGCATGATATTAAAATCTAGCTATCTAATATCTTCATGAATAAGCCACGATAATCTATCAAATGCTGAGCTTTGGACACTTTAACATAGAGACCAAGTTTAAATACTTTTGAGACACATTTGTATACATAAATGTCATCATCATCACCACCAACAAAAATAATATAGTAATAAAAATGAACACGTGTGAGAGTGAGAGCAAGAGAAAAAAAGGCAGAAGTTGGAGAGGTTGGTAGATGTGAAGTACAGTGCCACTGTATTTTTTTAAAAAATATTAAATGATACTTGATATAGCACAATAAGGCAGACTTTATTCAGGACCATCAATATAAGTGTAGGGACAAGGCGGTGAGATTGTGTAGAGGGAGGAGAGAAGTTGGACGCAGCTCAAAATACAGCATGGACAAGTGGGAATTTATAGCCAAAAAGCAGGGTGAAGCGCAATGAAGGAAAAATTATTAAGAGGCAACATCAAGGATTCTGACCACACCTGCCTAGCAGAATTATTGCTGGCGACAGGCCAGCATGATCAGATATCACCTGGGGGATGGTGGAAGGTGAAAAGGCCAATCAGATATCAAGAGTGATTGAGGGTGAAGAGTTCTTGCAACATTTTTCTAAAACTGAATTTTGTAAGGAATTACACAGATGAGCCTAAGAGAAGGTTACGGAACCTAACTAAATCTTGGTCAAGCAAAGAATCTTTGTTAATACAAATTCTCTTACCTTATTTGTGGGGATTTAGTATACAATGAATACCATTAATAACTTTAAGAATTTGTTTGAAAGATTTTGCTTTAATTTTCTTTAAATATTTCTTATTAATCATCATAAAATTATCAGAAAAGTTAACATAAAAAACAAAATTAAATCTAATTTATAATAGGAACAATGCAGGTTCAACTTTTATATTACTTATTTAAAAAGTCAACAGCTCTAAATTAATTGATGAATAAAAATACATATATACCTGAACCGCAATTATGGATATAATGTACAAATTTTAAAATTTACTAAAAAGTAAATACACATACAACACAGAGAAAAAAAATTCCATATAACATCAATTAGAAAACCACAAAGCTAGATATATAGAAATTCACATAAAATGTTAAAAATTTTTCAAACTAAATGTATTTGCCTTTCCAAGCAATATAAATAAAATAGACACAAATTTAAAAAGAAAAAAACTTTGAGGTTAGCTAAATAATATAACTTAGATGCTTCTAAGAGAAGGTCTTTCAGAATAGTTCAAACTAGAAAGAATGAACCTAGGCACTAAAGAGATATTACTTTATACAATTTATGCACTAAAAAGTGGAAATATAAGCATTATTTCAGGAACTGTAAGGAGATATATAAACAAATCATTTCTTAGTCAGTTGTACCTGTTTTTGTGAACTCATGGCAAATCAAGTAGTTAAAATATAAACACATATGTAAATATTAAATATTATGGATAATAAAGTTGATCTAATTTTTTTAAAATTAAAGTCTACCTCTAATAATAAGAAACACACTTTTACTTTTGATATATATGAAATGTTGCTTTTGCTAGGCTGCAAGTTCAAACAAAATTCACTAAATGTTGAAATAAAAATAATCATCATTTTCACATAGGAGAAAATAGCAAGTAAGAAATAATACGTATTTCATAACAGTATCAATAAAATATAGCATCTAGGAGTAAAATTGGTAAAACTGTACAAATGCTGTGTGAAACATTTAAATTTTTCCTCTAAGCCATTTAAAAAACCTAAATAATCGCATAATGTTCTTGGATTGGAAAATACAGTATTATAAAGAACAATACCATAGGACAGTTCTCCAGGTGGTCTTGGACCCATCCAGTTTCCCCCTTGTTCTTGCTTGTAGTTCTCAAGAATAACTAGAATGTGCTGGGAATGCAATATTCTGAGATAGAAAGAAACTACCTGAAACACCTCGGGACTTGTTTCTGTCCCTCCTAGGGAATGTAAAATCTTGAGTTAGTTAAAGTCTGTATGTAAGAAAAAGCCACTGAAGGATCAGAGATTAAGAGGGTGTCTTTGAAGGGAATGGTGAGCCTATTAACAAGTACAACTGAAGGGAAGAGGAGGGTGTATTGTACTATTAAGATTGAATTAGACTACATGTGACAGAAAGACTAAACTAATAGTGGTTTAAAGACTACAAAAGTACAGGAAGCCCGTCGTATCCATGGTTTCTTCATTGGTGGATTCAACCAACTGCTGATTAAAAATATTAGAAAAAAATGGATTGTGACTGCGCTGAACATATACAGTTTTTTTTGTCATCATTACTTAAACAATGCAGTATAGCAACTATTTACATAGCACTTACATTGCATTTAGGTATTATAAGTCATCTAGGGATTAAAGTGTACAGGAGGATATGCACAAGTTGTATGCAAATACAACACCATTTTATATAAGGAAATAGAGCATCTGCAGATTTTGGTATCTGCAGGTGGCTCCTGTGATCAAACTCCCATGGATACTGAGGGATAACGCTATAGTTTCTAAATGCAAGCATCTCAACCTACTATGGCACCAGCATGACTAGCAGAACCCCAAGCTTTACCTATGCTTTTGTTCCACCATCCTCAACACAGAAATTCCATGTATAACTTTTCATTATAGGTGGCTATATTGGATCTGCATTTCACAACTGAATGCATGGTAGCTGGAAAGAGAAAAGAGAAAATGAATAGCATACTTACACTCTTTTGGAAAATTTCCCAAAGTTGCATAATTAATTTTACATTTCATCAAGCAAAAATATAGCCACATCTAGATATATGTACAGAGTCTAAGGCAATAGCTTCTTTAGTCTGCAGTGCCATGTACCAGCAAACAGTTACAGATTCTATCACTGGTGAATGGGAGATGGGATATTCAGATACAACAAAAAATAACGTCCCAGGGGGATAGACGCTATACTTGTGAACAAAGGCAGGTGTGTAGGCTAAAAAACTTCTACTTATATATAGCATGGATTTTGTTATGGCCTGAATTTTGTCCCAATAAAATTCATATATTGAGAGGTTCACTCACAGAAGAAAAACTACATGAGGACCCAGTGAGAAGGTGGCCATCTACAAGCCAAGGAAAGAAGCCTCAGAAAAAAAAAATAATAATAATATAAAATAACCCTGCCCACACCTTGGTATTGAACTTCTTAGCCTCTTTAACTGTGAGAAAATAAATTTTTGTTGTTTAAGCTATTTGGTCTTTGTTATTTTGAAATGGTAGCCTTAGCAATTTAATGCAAATGTTTCTGGGATCTGTCTGAGAAAGTATAAGTATCAAAAGCCTACAGAGTGGACTAATGCTGGGGAATTATATAGCTGTTATATAGCTGTTTCTTGATGTGCCAACCAAATTCAGATCATTCAGTGATACAGTTATAAGATCGATTATTTTGACTCAGAAACATTTTAGATGAATAGATGAATGTAATGTCAGAATAGTGATACAAATTAAGACAAAAAACATAAGCTGGAAAATATTGATGATACTAACAACAAAAGTCCTTAATATAAAAACAGAAATTTGTATTAAAAAATTATTTCAATGCACAAAGTATGTGAACAAACAATTCACAGAAAAAATAATAAATAATATCAATTGTCAATAAATATATGTAGTAATGTTTTTAAAAACCCAATTTTTCCATGCATATATTTGGAAAATATTTTAAAGTTATCTTTTATAAAAGAAAATTTCAAGTTTTTTCTGTTTGTTTGCTTGTTTGTTTTTGAGACAAGAGTCTCTCTCTGCCACCCAGGCTGGGGTGCAGTGGCGCAATCTTGGCTCAGTCAACCTCTGCCTCCCGGGTTCAAGCGATTCTCGTGCCTCAGCCTACAGAGTAGCTTGGACTCCAGGGCACATCACCACACCCGGCTAATTTTTTTGTGGAGATGGGGTTTTACCATGTTGGCCAGGCTGGTCTCGAACTCCTGACCTCAGGTGATCCGCCCGCCTCAGCCTCCCAAAGTGCTTGAATTACAGGCATGAGCCACCGCACCCAACCAAAAACTTCAAGTTTTGATTAGTACGTGGAGAAAAGGCACTGTTGAGTATTCTATGGGCCAACAAATTAATGAAAACTATGTAGCGATTTGGCAATCTCTAAATTGTCTTTACTTTAAAATACTGGCAAAGGTAAATGGATAAAAATATTTTTTATTTTTAAATAACTTCAACCTAAAAATGTTAAAAACCTTAAATGTTGGTTAAATGGAAATCGATTAGCTCCTTTGCCCTTGTTAATATGAATCAAAGAGCTCTACATATGTTGCTGTGTGAAGATCTGCAAGGAATATTATGTTGAATATAAAATTGCATCAGATAGTGAATAATACCATCCACTTAGTATAAACAAAATCTTTAGATACCTTATACTTATTTTGATGGCTGTGTATGAAATGAAAATAACTATATGATATTATACTTAGAAAAAAACTCCTAAATTTGGAGCAGATGATACAGAAAAATCAAAAGATAACAGCATTGTAAGGAAGAGATTGCAAATAGTAAATTTGTCCTTTACCAAATTATTTTACTTCTGCAACTTACACATTTGGAAATCTCTTAACATAAATGATTATAAAATGTCCTTAAATGTTATATGGATATATGAAAGGTATTTTGTATTTTGCTTTTACAAAGATTTTAAAAGGAGTATCACCTTACGTTACTTGTGTTTTGCAATTACCCATACAGAGTCATAAATATCACTTGAAATCACCTTAATATTATTTACAATAATCAAATTATTATCTTCATTGCCTTCTCATGTACATTGTGTCTGGACCTTCTCTGTTCTCTGGATTTACATGCAAACGTTGAAAATATTTTATTTTAAAAAATATATATTTTTCTGTCATGACATTTTATAGAGAAGAATTCTAAAAATAAATAAATGCAAAAGAAGTAACCTATATAGTTATCTACAGAAATTGTAACCTACTATGGGATGGCCAAGGCTTGCATCCAAATTAATTTAAATGTTTTAACAATAAAAAACAATTTTTAAATATTTGAATATTAATGCTATTTTCTTGTGGTCTAATATTAATAACAGTAATGCAGACTGAATAGAATTAATTGGTAATTAACTTTTTATTTTGTTAAATGTAGGCAACTGAAGGACTTTCAAAGTAGAATGAGAAGAAAGAGTAAGACATAGATTTTTGCTTTCTGCTAGAGACTTCCACTGTCTCTTTTTCCTGTCTCATGTACTTCAGTTAACTAATTCTTCTGTGGACTGGGTTGGGCCACACACAATGCTTTTCCTAGATAGCTCTGTCATTTTTTCAAATACATAATCCACATTTTTTACACTAAGAAATTTAAGACTCCAGGGTCGTGAAGTTTGATCACAGTATTGGAAGAGTTCTTAAAGGAAATACAATATGAGCAGACAAGTGACAGAAATCAGGTAAAATTGGCTGCAAAATGTGTCCATACCACCAAAAGTTTACAGCTTTTCCAGTTAGAGCATAGGCAGAACTTCCACCTTCTATCAAAGTCACACCTAGATTATGTATCCTCCGAGTGTGGATCCCTGAGACACATAGAATTGCAATTTACAACTCCATCAATAGGTATCAGGAAAATTGGTCAGGATGAAATATCTCTAAAGCTTTACGATTTTATGTCAAATAAAAAGTTTTTCTCAATCTGTCTGTAGAATCTTCTAGAAGTTATCTGCTATAAAATTAATTAAGTGGATGTGACTACCACTTCATGTGGTAAAATCATTTGAGAACTTTCAAGAAACATTGTGACTTGGAAATATTTGATGATCACTCCTATATTATTTGGGACTTTTCAACCCAAGAATGTTGTATTCCACCTTTAGCCTAAAACTGGTGGTAGAGTGTTTGCATTGCTGACTAAATGAATATGTAATGGTCATCCTCCAGATTCCTAGTGATATTAAAGTATTCCTACAAGTTAAAGATTATATTCCACATATGTAATTACCAAAGTCTCTTTGTCGAAATTGGTTCACCTGCTTGAGAATTTAAGACCTAGGGAATAAAAATCAAATGTGATTTTTAAGTCAAATAAATATTTTACAAAACAAGAATTAGAATATTTTATTATACTCATTATATAAGCTTTACAAAGTGGCAAATATTAAAAGTTGTTTGTTTTTATATAGGAAGAAAAAAAACATAAAACCAGGAAAAGGTAAGATTACTTCCATGATAATTCAAAAGGCCCTAAATTTTAATAGCATTTGATTTTATGTGTCATAAGAGAAAACAGAAGACAAGACAAAGAAAGATAACCTCTGTCTCCCTAATAAATCTGGGAAAAAGTCTAAAGAGTAGTAGCTTACTTAGGGAATAAAAGCTGGCTTGTTCTACTTTGTTTGCCAAGAAGAAGAAAAAAAGCAGAGAAGATTACGTAGCAGAAAGTATACTGTCTCTCTGACTGCAAGTCAGAGGGCACTTCCAGAATCCGGAAATTTCCCAGTAAGTAGTCTCTTATCTAATGAGAGTTAAAAGAAGTGCGTTGGGAATGTTTTAGCTGATGTTAAAGCCTCTGTCATTTGCATTATAGCACTGGTAATTTTCCTAACCTGAAAATAAACTATTTTAACTACAAAAATTAAAGAATTTTATTTCCCTTAGGTAATCTTAAAAAAAATCTTAAACATTTATATGATATGTATCTTTATAATATTTATATAATATTCCACTTACAGAAAAGCAAGATTAGAAGATATTCTGTTAAATATTGACATTATTCTATGGTTATTGGAATTTGTTATATTTTTGTTATTCCATTTAAAAATGGTCCTTTAAAATTATTATTTAATAAATGGGTACTAATGTGACCCTTTCCCTATTATAGATGATACTGTGGTATTTTAAATTGTTGCTGGCTCTTTTTTCTTTAACCATCAATCACTTACAAATAAATTACTATATCCAGACACTTCTAAAATATTTTCTCCTTAATTTAATATAAACATACTGTTATATAGCATCACTCTGTTTATCGCAGTTGCAAACACTAAGGTGTTTTTTTAAAAAAAATCTGTAAATATGACAAGTTAAAATCAGAATGACTCCTTATTTAACAATTGTATGTCACAGATTTGTGATGTTATGCTAAAATGATGAAAAGTTCAGAAATGTAGGTATTATTAATCAAGAAAATAAACTGATATTGCATAGACAACATTCTTAAGATGTTCAAAACAGCTTCAAAAATGGTTTGTTTGCTTACAATGTCTACAAATATAGTTTATACAGTAGATTCAAGACCTATGGAAACAATTTAAATATTAGTTGAAAGTTTCATAATATTATAGAGTTTCAAAACAAAAAAAGACCACTAAATAAGTGTATCCATCCTCAAGAAATATGTTAGTAGGATACTATTTGCTTAGCTATATTCTCCAAAATATGTCCAGCCTAATATTAAATGACTGAAGCAATGAGACTTCCTTTAAATATCCCGAGACACTGTCCCATGGTCCAATTCTAAATACTGTTAGGAATTTTGTTATATATGTGTGAATCCTCTGGATATTTTTATGCCTTGTGTCAGCAAATTGCTGTTCACAGACAACTTGATTAAAAAAAAAGTGCCCTGATATAGAATCAGATGATTGAATATTCATGCTGTATTTTGCATAATATTTGTCAGTTATTACCATTCTGAATGTTATGTACTTATTTCCATGACTCATCTTCCTATATTATGATTTTACATAGTTTGTAAATAGAGTTGCTGTGAACTGTGTCATAATGACTGAAAATGGAAGGTGTGGAAGTTAAATGCAATCAAGCAAGACAGATTAATTTTAAAAACTTGCACCCTCAGATGGTTTTCAAAGATGATGAGCTTTTTTTTTTATTGTTTCTGTGATGTGACTGCTAATTGTTATAGTAACAGATTTGACATTCCTCAACAAATGATTTCAGGAAATTGTCAGTGTATGTGAGACCAAATGTTTATTTGCATGCGCTTCGTGGATCCCACCCACACATCTAAATATACACAATATACACAAGCACACAAATATGTTTGTATATCCACATGTTGTGTGTGTCTATATATCTATATCTTTACCTATTTTCTATCTCAGCAACTAAAGTCATACAGATAGATTAAAATCCCTCTGAAACTATTGTAGGATTGTGAGGAAAAAAAAGTGAGGGCCTAGGAAAATGTATGGATGCAATGCTATTTAAAGGAAGAAAAGATAAGAAGAATCTATAAGGAAATCAAAATGAATGGGCCAGAGAGGTAACAGGGAACATAGGAGCGAGGTATGATGAATACCAAATGGAAGTTTGCCTGGTGCTAGAAAGTATGTAGATTTCAAGTGAATGAATCTGGGCTTGAAGCTTCATGGGCTGCGTGGCATTAAATGTATTTCTAAATGTCTCTAAGCCTCATTTTCACCTCTTGCAAAAAAACAAAAAAGGAAAAAGAAAACAAAGAAAAAAGGCATAGATAACTACATCACTGATTTGTACTGTGAACTAATATGATATTTAAATATTAAAGCCATCACTGATGGCTTTGAAATTTAAAGCCATCATTGATATAATTTGGTTGTATATCTCATTAGTAATATTATTATATTCATGTAAGAAATGTCAATTTGCCATGATCCAAGTGAAGAATAAGTGACTGTAAGAAACTAGAATAATGTATTTGGCTAAATCTAGAAGAAAGGAGCCTCTAGTTATATAAGATTCTTCCATGTACACTATGTGTGGTGCATTATGCTTCCTGTAGAATTTTTCACTGCTTTGGAATTTAGCTCAACTATAGAACCAAGTAAGACAGTGACATATACAAGGAAAGAATGACCTAATTATGCTAAATCTTACTCAGAACATTTCACCAGTTTACATTTTGTGGATAGCATCTTTGAAATTATTTCTAAATAGTCATAGTTTATTCACTAATTTTTTTTTGCTTTCCATATATACAAGTTTGAGAATGACATTAATGCTAGTCAAAGAATCACCTCATCCACTAGATCACTTTGTAAGTATGCTTGCTTTTATTCTGTCTTCTTATCACTATTATTTTGTCATTGTATGTCCATAAAGGTAAACTATTTAGCTGGATCAGCTCTGACCTTTAAGGTGAAAAGAGTAGGGTGGGGTGGGGAGTAAGTTCAATGAATACATTATTCACTTATTTGGTTAAAAAAATATGAGATTTATTAACATTTCTGTTATTATGTGCGTTGAGTTTTTCTTGTATATGATTACTTTAGAATAAAATTTCATGGTGTTTATTTACATAAAACCCTGAAAGGTCAAGCTTTTTTGAGACCTTCTCAGTTATAGTCCAGAAACACATTGTTATTTGCATTTTTTCATAATGTTAAATGTCAATATGTCTGTAGGCAGACAACCAGTTCCCTCCCATCGTAATACTAAAAAAAGAATGGAATTAAAAATGCACCCTCAGATTAGTGAACCGGAAAAGGAAGTGCTTATTGTTCCTTTTAGTGATAAGGCACATAAACAGGGACTCAGAAGGCCAAAGATTTGCTGCCACTGGGTTGTGTTACTATACAGAGGGAAGAATGATGAGTTAAGACAAATTACACATAGTTAATAAGATAATGGTTTACATTCTAAATCTAGTTTTGTGATTAAAATAAGCACTTCTATGTAATATGAAGAGCTGGCAGGTGTTCTATGGGCTAAAAAAGTTGTCAAACTTAAGATGACTGACTAGAGGCATCTGGCATTCACGTCCTCCACAAATAAGAACCAAAATAGTGAGTAGATTATCAAACTTACTATAACGAATCTAAGGGATAACAATGTAATTCAAGAGAGGAATGACAGGAAATACCTAAGCCAAGGAAGGGGAGGTAAGCAAGACAGCCTGTTTGTCCTGGGTTGGCTTGGAGCACGAGTAGTTCTCCAACGTGCAAAAAGGGTAAGTGAGGGGTCCTGAGTGGTCCCCATCCCTACCACAGACTCCTGCAATCTTAGCCATGGGAAAGTCTCTGGACTCTCTTGGGCCCTGACACTAACTAGGAGACTGCCTGGAAACAACACAAAAGCATTATTCCAAAGAGGGAGCTCACACTGGGTCTCACACTCTTCCAAAACCTAAGGAGCTGCAGCATTTTGAGGGCCCAGTCTGATGGGGATCAGGCTGCATCCTGCCCTGGAGCACCACAGGTCGTGCATCTCCACATCCCTGGAGCTCCACTATCTCTTATGCACAGCTGCTGCCACTGTTGGCTCTACCACCAGGCCCCAAAGCACAAGCCATTAGCAGTGACCCGCTGTTCTCAGCAACAAGGCCACAGGGCATTTGTACACTCTCTGATGCAGGCTGCTCCTGCCTGCCACTGCCACTGCTGTTTCCAACTGAGCACTGCATGGGGCTCTGGGCAGCTCCCTGCCTCTGCCCACCATGGCCAGTGCCCATATACACAATGCAGGGGCCTGAGGACAGTTTTGCCCTGCCCTGCACTGTTCCACCAGCTCAGGAGAACACAATCCAAGGGCCATGGGATTGTTTTGCCCTGTTGACCACTGTTGGCATCTAGGAACACCTCCTTGGGGCCTAAGAATGGGCCCACCTAGCCTGCCGCTACGAGCACAGCTGGCCTCTACCTACACACACTACCTGCAGTCCTTGCGACTAGTCCACCTGGCCCATCACAGCCACCACCAACACCAGCACAAACCTCTTAGGAGCCAGAGGTTGTCCTACCACTGCTGTTGCCATCGCCCATAACATACCAGCTGCCAGGGGCTTGAGAGTCCGCCCACCCTCCTGACCCACCACTGTCACTACCGGCACCTAAGCAAGCTATCTGAAGGCCCAATAATCAGCCTGTCTGAACATTTGTGTCAGCATATGCCACCCTAAGAATCAAAGACAGACATGCTCAGCCACTGCCACTACCGGAGCCCAAGGACTGGCCCAGCTGGAGCTCCCTTCCCAGCCAAACTTCACCACAGCCTCCACTAACAACCACACACTAAGACACTGAAGAAATCACAGACACGATTGACTTTGTTTACAGCCAAAAAAATAAATGAATAAATAAATAGACTACACTAATATACTCGACCAGAATCAAAGCCAAAATGCCCTACCCAACCAGCACCATAGATACATCTTCAAGGCAAAGTCCTCTGCTATGAGAACAAGTCCCAAAAATCAGAAGAAACAACTGTTACACCATATGCACAGACATCAATGTGGGAACATAAGAAACATGTTAAAAAACACGGAAATGTGACCCTCTCCAAATGAACACAATAATTCTCCAGTGACCAATTTCATTGAAAAAGAAATGTATAAAATTCCGGCATGAAAACAGACACATAAACCAATGCAACAGGATAGATAGAGAACCTAGAAATAAATTCACATATTTAGAGCCAGCTGATTTTCAAAAGAAGCACCTAGAACATACATTGGGGAAAGGATATCCTCTTCAATAAATGGCCCTAGGAAAGCAGAATATTCATAGGCAGAAGAAAGAAACTGGGCCATTATCTCTTACCACATACAAAATCAACCCAAAATGGATTAAAGACTAAATTTTAAGACCTCAGACTACAAAATTACTAGTAGAAAACATAGGCAAAAATTCTTCAGAACATTGGGTTAGGCAAAGACGTCAAAAGTTTTAGCAACAAAAACAAAAAACAGACAAATGGAACCATATTAAACTAAAAAGCTACTGCAGAGTGAAGGAAACAATCAACAAAGAAAAAAGACAACTCACAAAATGGAAGAAAATATTTGCAAATTATTAATTAGGCAGGGGATTAATATGCAGAATATATAAGGAACTCAAACAAGTCGAGTAAAACAAACAAATAAATAATTCCCTGAAAAAAGGAACAAAGACTATGGATAGACACTCCTCAAAAGAAGACATACAAATGGCTAAGAGGTACATGAAAAATGCTCAACATTACTAATCATCATGGAAATGCCAATTAAAACCACAACGAGATAGTATCTTTCTCCAGTTAGAATGACTGTTATTAAAAAGACAAAAAACTACCTGGCGCAGTGGCTCACACATGCAATTCCAGCACTTAGGGAGGCCGAAATGAGTGGGTGGATTACCTGAGGTCAGGAGTTCAAGACCAGTCTGGCCAACATGGTGAAACCCCATCTCCACTAAAAATACAAAAATACAAAAATTAGCTGGGAGTGGTGTCGGGCGCCTGTAATCCCAGCTACTCAGGAGGCTGAAGCAGGAGAATCACTTGAACCTGGGAGGCAGAGGTTGCCATGGGCTGAGATGGCGCCACTGCACTCCAGCCTGAGCAACAGAGCAAGACTCCCTCTCAAAAACAAACAAACAAACAAAAAACTATAAATCCTGGGGAGGGTGTGGAGAAAAGGGAACTCATACATTGCAGTAATTTAAATTAGTACAGGCACTATGAAAAACAGTATGAAGATTTCTCAGGAAACTGAAAATAGAGCTACCATAGGATTCACCAGTCACACTACTGGGCATTTATCCAAAGTGAAGGGAGTATGTACACCAAAGAGATACCTGCAACTTCTTGTTTATTGTAGCACTACCCACAATAGCAAAGATAGGGAAACAACATGAGTGTCCATCAAAGGATGCACGAATAATACCATATCATGTCATTTGCAGCAACATAAATGGAACTGGAGGAAATTATGTTAAGTGAAATAAGCCAGACATAAAAACACAAATATCGTATGTTCTCACTCATGTGAGAGCTAAAGTTGATTTCATGGAGGCAGATATTGTAATGATAGATATCAGAGGCTATTAACGGCATGTATATGGGGGAGGGTGATTGAAAAGAGGTTGATTAATGGGTACAAACCCACAGTTAGATAGAAAAAATAAATTGTGAGGTTGGTTAACAGAGTAATGTGACTATAATTAACAGCAAGGTATTGTATATTTGAAAATAGCCAGATGAGAGGGTTTGAAATGATCTCAACACATAGAAATGATAAATACTGGAGATGATGAATACCTTAAATACCCTGACTTGGTCATTACACATTCTATGCACATAAACAAATATCATATGTACCCTATAAATATGTACAAATATTATGTATCAATAAAAAATGTTGTCAAGCTTAACTATCTCTACTACTTGGATTCACTATTAATTATTCCATTTTTTGTATCTCGTATTTTACTATCCACAGAGTAGCATATATTTCCAATTTAATTTCATCGTTTACTGATACGTAGGTATCATTATTGGATTCTTTACATTAATTCATTTTTAGACAAATCATATTTAAAACAAAATCAATAATAATACATTTCAAGTTCACATTTTATTTCTGTGCCTATTGAAAATATAGAGCATCACAAATATTTATTTATGCAAGCACTGTGGATGTATTGCCAATGAGACCTATTTAGACTGCAAGCATCTTTTATTTTGACCAGATGTGTCAAACAAATAGTATTTCTAAATCTCTTTAGATGTAGTGATTGATTTCCAGTTTGCCAAAATCCCCAACATTCTCTTATGTCTACTCATTATTCTGCTTAAATAAATACATTTTTTTTTATTGTAGGCATTTGAATTGAGCAACCTCATTTTTTTCCATCAAACATGGAGACATAGCTATTGTACATATGCAATCAGATTAAAGGTACTATACATTAAGTGACAAAAAATCTTTATGTGTTTAGGGAAAATTAACTATGGAAATATTTAGTTATTTGAATAAGAAACTTTAAATCTAGTTTCAAAATTGGTGTGTCTTTTGGAAAATCGGTAACAACTATAATAAAATTCCCACAAGTAATCTAGATTTTCAGCAGATTATTAATATTATTTATATATTTTAAATCTATATAACAGATGTGGTTATACATTTAGAGACAATATATAAAAGCACAAGTTTTACAATATTGCTTAAAAATGAGCACATCGTCAATGAACTTCTTTGGAAATCAAAACCAATTGCTGCCAAGTGAATTTTCACTTGTCAACTTGGTAAGGGGCTAGTATTTTTACTAATATTGTAATCCTTCAGAATTATTAATATACTTATTGAAACAAAGATAAACTAATAATGCTAAATTTTAATTATATGCCATGGTTCTTTTCTTAGCCACTTTGGGTAAACTGGGAGAAATAAAGGAAAAGATAAAAATAACATAAGACAAAGTAAAACAGCAACTAGCGAGCCAGTTTTATGATACTCCTGCAGTTAGTCCCAATGGAATCTATTGAAGAAACAGAAAGAATGTTTACAAAATTATTATGCTTAGGTATTTATATATACAATTTTCTTGCTCCATTAAAATTAATTTTAGATACAATAAAATATTCTTTTCTCTTCACTCTCCTATTTGCCACTACAAATAATATTGACATAAACTTTTGTTTTCAAAAACAAGAATATGATGGACATAAAAATCATTATTTTTAGAAAGTCTGAAACAAAGCCCACATTTCTCCTAAATCTTACATCAAACATATTAACAGTAGTATTTAAATGTTTTATTCTTCTGTATAAGTGAGTGTGCACATTTACCTTAACCAAGGACATTATGAAATGGCTAGTAATGAATATTTTGATTTATAAATAAAGGCCTGAGGAGGGAAAAACTGATATAGATACATATCTCTTACTCCTGTATTAGCTTGCCAGGTCTGCCATGACAAAGTAGCACAGACTAGATGGATTAAGCAACAGAAATTTATTTTCTCACAATTCTGGGGGCAAAAAATTCAAGATAAGGTTGAGTTTGTTTCTTCTGGGGACTCTCTTCTGGTCTTACAGATGACCACCTTCTCACTGTGTCTTCACAAGGTCTTGCTTCTGTGTAGGTCTGCATCCTAATCTCTTCTCCTCATAAGGACACAAATCATATTGAATTAGATCCCACCCTCATAACCTCATATTAACTTAACCACTTCTTTAAAGATATTATCTCCAAATACAGTCACATTCTGATGAGCTGGCTGTTAGGTCTTCAACATATAATATCTGAGGGGATGCAATTCAGCCATAACAACCCCTTTTCCAAAATCATGAGATAAATACATACAAGAAAATGGAATAATTATTTTATAAAACTTGGCCAAAATCACATGTAAAAAACAGGGCACACACTGTATACATTCATTATAGTACCTCAGTGCTTTGTAGGTGCCCCATGTTTGTGTGTCCACACACACATATACACAACAATCAGACAAACCCAGACAAATTCACAACTTACTGTGACCTCTTACAAAATGTTTTCTGAAGGAAACAAAAGGTTATTGTAAAGCTAAATTCTAACAGCATGTATAATAGTCTGGTCTTAGAGCTGATACATTTTTTAGGTGTCCTAATATATATAAGGTACTTTCCTTTCTTTCAGTTTTAAAACATTTATTTTTCTTTATTTAAGCCCTATTATTACCATAGAAAGTAAAAAAAAAAAATCACTTTCCAAACATAATTGCATTTTCTTTTGTTTACATAGAAATAGGAAAAAAATGCAAAATTGATGTTATTCCTGAACCCAGTATGTTTTCAAATTAATCATTTCAGATAAGCTTGCTTTGTAAATTAGGAAAAAGGTCAATAAATTAAGACATAAGCATAGTGAGAATATATGTATGTGTATGTGTATGTATTCTCTAAGTATATATGTGTGCATGTTGATTAGATATGTGAATGTATATATAGATTTTGTGTTTACATATGCACACATCTGTGTAAGCATGGAGGTGTGTACATATGCTTACAAAATAATTATGGTTAAGTGTTTGTATACAGAATCTTCTTGTTCCATTAAAATTAATTTTGGATACAAGTATGATGTTCTTTTCTGTTTGCTCTCCTATTTGCCTTTATAAATATTATTGACATAAAGTTTTGTTTTAAAAAATAAGAATATGATAGACATTAAAATAATCATTTTTATTTCATATATAATGTATATACACACATACATATCTATATATTTAATAGGAAATATGTATTTTATTTACATACATATCTTATAGGAGATTATATATATATCTTACAGGAGATATATATATTATACATATATTAATATATATATATTAGCAAGAAAGATATTAGCTCCTAATTAAATATCAAATATCAGTGCTTAACTGGTATTATATAGTTTTCCGGGATGAGTGAATAAAATTCAGTAAGGTTAAATGACACACTTATGTAAGCACTTTAAGTTGCTGGACGTATTCTCAAGAAGAAAAGAAGAGTGAACTTAGTAGAGAGCTCTGCACATGGTAAAAGTATTTGGTAAATGCTTGTTAAGTGCAAAGATCTTTGAGAGTTACTGTGATGCTGGTAGCCAGTTTCCCAGGAACCTACACTCTCTCATTAGCTACACAAAGCCTGCTCTATTCTTTCTCCTGGGGGGGTCAGCCCTTTGGTTAGGAGGGAAAAAGGGCACACGGTAAGAAACAACTTAAGCAGAATACAGACAAGAGGAAAAAAGAAGCCAAATAAACCAAACCAAGAATCTAATTTATCTTATGCCACGCAAGTCCCCTCCAGATTTAAAAGGGCAACCGCTCCCAGGAACACAGAGTTGAGAGGAAAGGATTAACATTTGGGTGAGGTGAGACACCTGGAAGAAGCCTGGAAATACGTTTCCTGTTGTGGACTCCTGGACTCCTTAGATTCAGGTAATGTACTAAACAATCAAGTCCATGTCACTATTCTTTGACTGATTTGATGAAATTAACTAAGCTGTCGGTCTAGCAATGAAGCCGAAGTATCTCTGGAAGAGGTGGGGGATGGAAACATCCTGAGGCTTCCAAAATTATATTTACCATGTTGCAATGTGAATCAGGGTGGTTCACCTTAGTCTTGACTAAAAACTTATCAGTAATCATCAGTCACTGTTTTCGTAAAACTGAAAGGTCATTTGCTGCTGTTATTCAGGAGGTAAAAAATAATTACTTTATCTTTCAACAGTAGATGGTACTGTGAGTAGATTGTCACAGGGAATTGCCAAGATACGGATCAGTTTAGGAGTTGGTGTCAGGGAATTAAGATGAGATACGGAGCCAAGTAACAACAGCAGCAAGTGTAAATACAGAGGAAAAACATGCACAGGCTATGTAGAGTAATTTCTGAAACTGGATGTACAAAGAGATACATTATCTGATAGAATCATATTGTCCTTACAAATTTGAACACAGGCAGAACTTTAATCCAATGTTAGATATTTTAAGTGTATAATTTTAGTTCAAATTAGTAGCAGACTATCTTCTTCTTATTTATATTTTTTAGATGACAATGGTCAAATGGTATTAGTATACCAGGCAGATGAAGATATAATCTTGGATAGATAATCTATTCATGTGGCTTTCACAGTAAAGAACAATGGTTAGGAAAATAACAGAATAAAGGAAGACCATGAAGAATTTAAAGTGATAAAATAATGAGAGAAATAACCTGGGGTTATCAGTTGACAGCAGAATGTGGGTTGTAAACTCTGTTTTATGGCTACAATTCTAAAATGTTGTATTTTAGCTTGATATTATTATTATTAAAAAGACATTATGTGTACATATATATGGAGAGATATATATATATCATATATATGGAGATGTATATATCCATATAGAATGAAACTATCCATGTGGTTTTATTCTACACTATAGTATACATATATACACTATATATACACATACAGATATCCATACACTATGTATGTAATGTATATATAGTATATATAACATATATACATATGCACATACTATATGTATATATACATGTACTATATATATATATAGTGTAGAATGAAACTACACCCCTATATGGATATATGGGTTGTCTCTTCTAGAGAAATGTTGAGTTCTAGAAGATAAAGCAAATGTATAAAACTGTATAAAAAATGGAGATTCACAGTCAAGAACCAAGTCACAGGCAATATATAGAAAGATAGTGCCTCAGAATTTTCCAGAATTCATAATTATATATATTTTCCAGAATTCACAATATATATATTGTCTCTCTATATTGAGAACAGCTTGGAGGTTCCTCAAACCTAGAAATAGGGCTACCATGTGATCCAGCAATTCCACTGCTAGGTGTATACCCAATAGAAAGGCAATCAGTATATCAAGGGGATATCCGCACTCCCATGTTTGTTGCAGCTGTATTCACAATAACCAAGATTTAGAGTCAATCTAAGTGTCCATCAACAGACAAATAGATAATGAGGTACCTATACACAATGGAATACCATTCAGCCATAAAAAAATGAGATCCCATCATTTGCAACAATAGGAATGGAACTGGAGGTCATTGTATTAAGTGAAATAAGTCAGGCATAGAAAGATAAATTTCTCATTCTCACTCATTTGTGTGAGCTAAATAATTGAACAATTGGACTCATGGAGATAGAGAATAGAATGATGGTTATCAGAGGCCAAGAAGGGTAGTGGGGTAGGGGGCAAGTAGAAATGATTAATGGGTACAAAAATATAGTTAACTAGAATGAATTAGATCTAGTACTTGATAGCTCAACAAGGTGAATACAGTCAATAATTTACTGTACATTGAAAAATAACTAAAAGACCATAATTGGAATGTTTATAACACAAAAAATGATAAATGCTTGAGGTGATGGATACCTCATTTACCCTGATGTGATTATTAGGCAACATAGGGCTCTACCAAAATATTGCATTTATCCTCTAAATATTTACACCTATGTATCCATAAAATGTTTTAAAATAAAAAAAAATAAATTTGGCTATTTTATTTTTATTTGTAGATTTTATTTTAATCTTTTTTTGTGTTTTTTGTTTGTTTGTTTTTAGCAAATCCTGTTCCCTGGCTATAGTTTCAAACTGGCATTTAAAAATTAACCCCAAGAAACATTCTTTTATTCTTGTTCTTACTCGCGGTGCCTTGTTTTCTTGAGTGTTCAATTATTAATTGTATGTTGGTAATGCACTTAGTAGAACAAAATTATTATAGCCAATTTTGGCACTAAGCTAAAAATGACTTCTTTCAGATGGTTGGTAGATTCTGTTAGACATATGTAGGTGCTACCAGCTGTGCTCACCCTCATCCAACTTTATGACTCTCACAACTTATATCCAAAAAATGAATTCTTAATAGATCATAGATTTAAGTATAAAAATTTAAAGTTATAAAATTTATGGAAAGAAAGGCAAAGAAATGTCTTTGACCTTGGATTTGGTGATAAGTTTTTAGATATAACATCAAAAGTATAGCCCATTAAAAACCAAGAAATTGCACATATTAAAGGTTTTCTTAAGACAAGTGATGTACAAACTGTGAATGGAACAAAAATAAATTACAACATTTCTGATTAAGGACTTGTTTCCTGAATACATAAAGAACACTTAAAAGTCCCATTCAAAAATGGACGAAAGATATGTACAGATACTTCAGCAAAAGTGGTAGATGGATGACAAATACGAATACAAAATAATTCTCAACATCATTTGTCCTTAAGGGGATGTAAACATAAACAACAATGATATGTTATTGCGCACACCATTACAATAAATAAAATCTAAAATAGACTGACACTATGAAATGCAGGCAAGAATAGGAAACAACAAGAACTATTACTCATTACTAGTGGGCATGAAAAATTGTAGTCACTTTGGAAGACTGTTTGGCATCTCACCACAAAGTCTATATTGCTCCTAGGTATTTAGTCAAGTTTCCTAAAAACTTATTTTCACAAAAAAACCTGTATATGTATATTTTAAAAAGCTTTATTTATTCATAACCACAAAAACATGAAGATAAATATAGATATGTCTGAATACTTTGGTTAGTATGCATACATGTATTTCCTGACTCTCTGTTGAGAGATGAATCAGTAATGTTCCAGTAGAAAGAAAGTATACCTTTCACCCATATTTTGGTTTCTAAATACCATTCTCAAAGAAAATCAGGAATTCTTAGAGACATGGCTAATTCTAGGGCTAAAGCAACGAAAATACAACATGAATCTGGAGCATCTTGTAGTACCAGAAGTAACAGACTCCAAAAACAAAAAGATTAGTTTTATATACCTTTAGTCTCAAGCAGTGAGTATTCTGACACCGCATATTTTAGGCTTCTCTTGGCTAATGAAAGTTTTTCAAGTGGGTACCCAATGGTCAAACTAAAAAAGAAAAAAAAAAAGCAACTAAGTAATGTAGTATTAAGTTATAACCCATATTAATGGACAAATATGCATGAGTCCATACTGATAGATATGGATTATTAAACAGATAAGTAAGTGAGAAGAAACAAATCTTCTTGATGAAATAATTCCAAATCATTTATGTAGATAATCTCCATTAACAGAAGTGGATCTTAATTCCCCTTCTCCCTTGGAGTGCTGGCTGGACTTAGTGACTTGATTCCAAAGAAAAAGTGTTACAAAAAGGGAAAATCTAGCAAACACTTCCTTATTCAGGTTTTCAGGGTTAACGTCATTAGTGGAAGTCAAGGTGATAGCACCTACCTGCTGGTATTGTGTGATAATAAGGGCATGGCATATCTATAGCATGATTCCCATGAACTATAACTCCAGTCTGAACAGGGAAAACATCAGACAGACTTAAATCAAGGAACATTGTACGAAATATCTCACAACTACGCCTCAAAACTGTCAAGGTCACCAAAAATAAGTAAAGTTGGGACAATTATCACAGCCAAGGAAAGCCTAATTATACATTGCAAATAGAAGTAATTGGTATTTTAGATGGGACATTGGAACAGAAAAAAATACACTAGTGGTAGAACTAGTAAAATTTGAGTGAAGCATGGAGTTTAATTAATAATAATATACCAATTTTGTTTTTGTAGGAAAACAAACTTAGTTTTTTAGAAAAATGTGCCATGAAAAGGTGAGATACTACAATGGGGAATTTAGGTGAGAGGTATATAGGTAATCTATATACAAGCTTTGCAATTTCATTACATCTAAAATTGTTCCAAAATAAAAAATTATTTTAAAATTTTCTGCCTAATCATTCTGCCTTTTGAACCCCCAATTTCCTTTCTATATAACAATATATTTGGTGGTGTCATTGTTGGCATAAAATTTAACATAGGTCTATTTTCACTCAATAAACCACACTTTAAAGTGTATGCTGGTACCTTCCTATGCAAATGAAACATCTCCGGAATGGATAAAAGACAATGGAAAATAAACAGAATTAAATTAAAAGGCAATTTCTAGTCCTCAATAACTAGTTATCTCAGTGTCTTAGATTCTGTAGCCCTGAAATTCACATTGGAAAACACATGTATCTGAAACACAGATGAAATGAATTTAGCATTAATAAATGCAATATAGTATATAGCCTGATTAAATTATAGATGCTGTTCATCAATGATTTTGGAACTGTAAGCGTAAAGCAATTTCAATTAAATGTAAAAATTGTTTTGATTTTTGAGGAAAGGAAAAATAATAATGTCTTAGCATTAGAAATACCCTTAGCAATATTTGAAATACCGTATTTCTGTGGAAAAAAATTATTTTAAATATAATATTGATGAATAACAGATATTTTATTTTGTTTTATTTTTGCTTGATAATAAACCTATTGAACAGAGACATTTATTCATGAGGCAATAATTTATCGACAGTCATTTATATGCCATTCACTGTTATAGCCAATGAATAAATTTTCTATATCCAATATTATTCCAATACTTGACAAAATACACCTTAGAATTTTTTCTTAAGTATTTACTACAATTATGATGGGAACACCAAAGAGTTAGAGCTAGTTAGTGAAGAGTATATCCTAATGGGTCCTATTTTACCATATGACCTAATGGATCTGACAGTAGATAGATCAAAATGGACAGTTCAGGTAATATAATAATTTAATCATCTATGATCCAGAGCTCAGTCTTCATAGGACACACTTCCTAAAAGTTCCTAGTTCTTTGCTGCAAGAGTCTAAACCTTCTACCAACATCTTAGGAATCTTCAATGTGACTCTTCTATTAAAGATTGCAAAAAAACTGATCACAGATTAATTATATTCACCTTTAGCTCCATTTAGTTTCTCAGGTCGGAGTTGATTTATTTCCATTGAAATATTGATTAACATAAATACCACCTGTGATTTTGGCTGCCCTTGACCACAATCCTTGTAGAATAAGGTTCCCTAGTTGCCATGATGACTTTGATGACCTTTAAACCTGGTTCCTCCACTCTAGATTTCTATAACCCCTTTTGCTGTATTGACACAAGACATACTGTTTTTAAGAGAGCATCTCCTACCATTAACTCGGGTCTACAGAGGAGAGCTAGCATAGAGTTACTCAGCTATGCACATGCCCCCATCACCAAATTGATAGCAGGAAAGAGATCTTGATGCAGACCCCAAGAGAGGGTTCTTGAATCTTGCACAGCAAAGAATTCAAAGCAATTTGTATGGTTAGAAGAGAAAATTTATTGAAACTTTCTCCATTACACAGTAGAGCCTTCTCAGAAAGAAAGCAGAAGACCACACTGTCTTTGTTTTTCCTGTTTTTTGTTTTTTTTTTTAAAAAAAAAATATACATAGGGGTCTTGTCTTTGTAAAGAGTAAATTAAGCTGCGCCTACGTGCAGGTGAGCTAACAGCATGAAAAAATGTATTATTCTATTGATTTAAAGAAAACTGCCCTTGACATTTTAGTGTATAAGTAAATCAAAAGACAACTATAATTATCTTGAAAGCATACATTGTTATGTATACTGGGACATCTGTACTTTCTGTTATTGTAGGAGTTTGTGCTTGCAAGCATCACCTATATGCTTTCTTAGTGGTAAACATCTTAGGATCGTGGGTTGGGACTGGCAAGTATGTGCCTTGCTAGCTTTAAGATGGAGTTGATTTAAAATTGGTGTCACTCTGGTTCTCTTAGG
This sequence comes from Homo sapiens, assembly GCF_000001405.40. Lineage (NCBI taxonomy): Eukaryota > Metazoa > Chordata > Mammalia > Primates > Hominidae > Homo > Homo sapiens. The sequence goes on from NC_000005.10 coordinate 25,751,609, forward strand.
CTCCTACTTCCCTAATATCCTCCCCTCTACTTATGAGAGAGCCCTTAATCTTAAGAGGAGATAAAGGGTGAAAATTGTTCTTCTGTAACTTCTTTCTGCAGAAAGTGGACGATGATCTTTGGGTCACGATTCTCTTATAAGGGTTTGCAGTTAGCCTCTAGGGAGCCAAGCAAAGTCCTTGTGATGCTTTCCTGATGATTCTAAGGGCATAGGCCTTGCCTGGTATTGGAGGAATAAAAAATATCTGGATGCCAGATCTAAGGGGTATAAAGGCAGGATGTCTTTATTTCCTGGGTCAGAAGATAGGATGGGTTGGAAGCCTTGTGCCACCATCATCTTTATGTGGAATTGTAATCTAGAAGACACAAACTTTCCCAAGAGGTTAAACAAGCAAGGACCAAAGATTAGTAATAACATGATAGTTATCAAAGGCCCTAGATAAGGCAAAATCTAAGTGAGAATCAAGGGAGTGATTTTAATGGTCAACCAGTACAGTTGGGGTGGGTACCTTGGTAATATTTATGCAACCAGACAGCTTGTTAATATATTTTCTCTATATATTCTTCTATTTGACCTGGGGTGTTTATATAAGTGCTGGAGGTTTTATTGATTATGGAGCATACTCTCTTTTTTAAATCGGGAACTAATCTAGTGCTAATCTATTGCCTGTTGATCTATCTGCAAAGAAATAAAGGGAAAGTTTTAACTTACCTGAAGCATCCCCCATTTTACCATTTTATGAGACAGTATGTAGAATGAAGAAGTAAAGTTTTGAAGAGTTGCTTTATGATAGGCCAATTGTCCCCATGGGGACAATAAGCCAATGCCAACCCCAACCCTAGCCAATATAAAGCCAATTGTGCTCTTAGCTCTCAGGTGAGTGTTGTTATATAATTGTATGTTAGAGAGATTTGCTTGTCCTACTGTACATTGACTGCTGAAGCAAACATTATTAATACACTGATAACCATGAGTTTTATGATCCCAAATAAGATAAAAGTTATTTATAGGTTGATTGAATGAGTGACCATATAACCATAAGTATCTGTTGGGGATGCAAACCTGTATGAGAAGGGAGTTGTTAAGAAGACTGAGTACCTGCAGGGGAGACTAGGGATGTTACCTATCTGTTTATTTGAAAACAATAGCTTTAGGTCTTCTAGGGATTCACAAGTGTGGATTGTGACGTCTTCTTTCAGTGCCTGCAGGAATTCATAAGAAATAGATTTAATCTTGGAAAGGTGTACCCAGCTAATGATTCCCTGATGTTTAACAGCAGTGGGGGTACTTAACAATACCTGATAGGGGCCCTTCCATTTTGATTGTAATTGACCTCTTCAGGGGATCCTTCTTTCTAAGTTTTTAATGAAAGTCTCCTGTTTGAACAGAGGAGCTTTGAATATTTTGGAGGTAGTCCTGACACATGCATATTGAAAAAACATGCATGTAACATATAACTCTGTTTACATTGGAGTGGAGAATTAACCCTTGCCTGGCATGGTCTTAGATCCTGTTTATAATTTTATATCTTATTGCCATAAAGGGTCTGTTCTGTCGGTCTTATGTTCACTATTTTAAAGTTAATGCTGGTCATTTGTGCCTGAATTCCAAGGGGAGAAATGTATAGTGAGGCATGTCTGACCCCCTGTTTGCCCTCATGGCCTGAAATAGTTTTTCAGGTTTTTTGTTTTTGTTTTTGTTTTCATTTGGCCAAGAGTGGGTGTCTATTGTGTGGGGAGGGTGGCTTAGGATTTTGTTTTTATATTCTCCTTTTTTTGTCAAGGTATGACAGAGGCAGTATCGATAGCCAAGCTTTCATTTTGTCCCATATGGATGCCAGGGGGGCGTGCTACTGGCCCCAGGTACATTATGTCCTTCGATGCTCCATCATGTCCCTCCATGGTCCACCATGTCCCTATGGCCAAGGGATTCAAGTCAAAAGACTCATATCCAATTAATTCTTCTAGGCCAGATGGTAATGGAGGAATTAGGCCGGCACTCATTAAACTTAAACCCTTTTAAGACACATAAAAACCAAAAATCAAAGGCCAAGAAGCAAGGTTACAAAATGGGCTTATCAATACATTCTATGCATTGACCTATTGTATTCCTGGCTTGTAGTAACTAGCTGTGTAAAACACACATATTTTCTTCAGCTGTTTAGGCATCTGTGTGCCCATCCTTGATTTGGAGAGTCTGAACTAATTTTATTCTCCAAAACCAACCCTTACAATCTCATGTGATAGTCCCTGAGCTGGAGGGGATGAATATTTAAATTTCTGGAGGGAAAAGTAAGCATAAGGAATTAACAATGTTTTTAACAAAAGATCATATTCTCTGCCTGGTTCTGAGAACGAAGGAAAGGGAAGCCCATCGGTAGCCAAACATTTATTTAGTATTAAGGCAGATAATAAATTGTATATTTCAGAAAAAGGCAGAACTATTAAATGAATCTTATTTTTTTTTTAATACAGTCCTGATCCTGTGTCTCATGAAAGCAGTTTACTTTGATTTTCATCTTTGTCCAGGTCTAAAGACAAGGCTTTGGTCAATTTGAGTTTGGTGTTACATATTGGCAGGAGTCAGTGCTTTATTTAGATGAGATTTGTGTATGCTGGAGTCAAAGCCTTGTAACGTAACAGCATAAGGATTAGTTAATATCACTTGATAAGGACCTTTTTTAAGGGTCTACAGTGAGCTCTTTAACTGAGTTTCTTCCAGTATATATAATTATCAGACTGAAGGTAGTGATACTGGAGTTCATAGTCTGACTAGAAGGTGTGAAAATAGTCTACAACTCTGTAGTGATTATTTTTTATAGATTTAATATGCACCAGCAATAAGACTGTGAGAGACTTCATTTAGGATTTTTATTTTAATGACATTTGTTAAAGCTGTTAAAAAGCCTCAAAATATTTGATCAAAATAGAATCAAGCTGATTGTAAAACCATAGCTACTCATTTAACCAAAGTGATAATTAAAAAGACTTTAAAGGCAATGCAAAAGGCTATATGGATATAAAAACCTTAACTGTTTTAAATCTTAGTTTTTAGCAACTAAAAACCTCATAAAGACAGTATAGTAATTTTAGAATCTTGTTTCTTAAGCCAGTTATCAAAAAGGAAAAAAAATCTGTCCACTATGTGACTGTTTCTCCTTATGAGATGCCCATTTAGATGACCCAGAAGTCAAATCAGATGAAAAAAAGTGCTTGAATTTAATCCAACACAGGAAGAGTGTATTCAAGTATATGAATATAGCAGGGGGATACATGACTCAGACACAGCTTAAGTTTCCTGATTACACTGAAAATTTAGACATATCAAGAAAACCAAGAATATACAACTAAGTTATGCTAGAGGAAAATATTGCTTTCTAGATCTTCGAGATAAAACATTCTAGCATCAAGGCATAACAACAGTTAGAACTGGAGGAAAGAAGAAAAGTTACAAGAGTTGACAAAACTTTATCATGACTTACCAAGACCATCTACGGCATGCTTTGACTTTCTGACTTGTTCTAAAGGTCTCTCTTCTAAATAAACAGTCGTTTTATTTTTAGGACAAAAATTTACCATACAAAATCCCTTTTTACCATACAAAATCCCTTTTCATATGAAATTATTCTCTTTTCTTTATAACCTTTCTTAACAAAAATGCATCTCTATATCCTTCATAACTTTCTTCACACCTCTCTCTCCTTGACTCACTGGTTCCTTTCTATATTGATTCATAAATAACCATTTTAAAGCCCATAATTCGTTTGTTTGTTGTATTTGTTGTTGTTTTACTTTTATTTTAGGTTCAAGGGTAAATGTGCAGGTTTGTTATATAGGTATATTGTAAGTCGTAGAGGTTTGTTGTACAGATTATTTCATCACCCAGGAAATAAGCATAATAACTAAAATGCAGTTTTTGATCCTCATCATCCTTCCACCCTCCAACCTCAAGTAGGCCCCAGTGTCTGTTGTTCCCTTCTTTGTGTCCATATGTAGTCAAAGTTTAGCTCCCACTTGTAAGTGAGAACATGTGGTATTTTATTTTCCTTTCATGTATTAGTTCACTTAGGATAATGCCCTCCAGTTCCCTCTATGTCGCTGCAAAGGACATGATCTCTTTCTTTTTTCATGGCTGTGTAGTATTTCATGATATATATGTACCACATTTTCTTTATCCAGTCTACCATTGATGGGAATTTTGTCTGGCTCCGTTTTTCTGGTCTTGAGAATAGTGCAGTGATGAACATACACATGCATGTATCTTTATGGCAGAGTGATTTATATTCATTCAGGTATATACCCAATAAAGCGATTGCAGGTTTGAATGGAAATTCTGTTTTGAGTTCTTTGAGAAATCACCAAACTGCTTTCCATAAGGGTTGAAATAATTTACAGTCCTACCAGCAGTGTGCAAATATTCCTTTTTCTCTATGACTTCATCATCATGTTATTTTTTGGCAAGTCCATAATTTGAAGTGACCTTTAGAGAACTTCTGAATTAGACAAAATTATTCTTGTTTTCAATAAGACTGACTCCAGGGAGGCTTCTGGCTTCCAATGCCTCCCAGAGAGATGCTGAATTAAACAAAATGAAGAAGTAAAATTCCTTCTAATCAAGATTAGAAGGAAAATGATAGGTGTAAACTTCAGGGCATGCAAGTGTAGGGTGATGTGCATCACTGATGAGGCACAGACAGCAACTATACAGCTGACAAAGGGGACTGGGGGATCAAGAAGCAGTAGGTGCTGGAAAATATTCCTCTGAGCCTCAAACACTTTATCCACCTCTGCATGGGGCTCCAAACCCCCAGTCCTATGGAAATATAAAGGAACATGGGCATTCCATAATTCCCGGGGCTCAGAAGGCTAAGTATGTTGCAAAAAAAAGGGGGACAACAAAGGAAAGGAAAGAGACAAGAAAAGACACTCACCCGCTCGTGAATCCAAAAACTTAGGAAGCAATAAATCCTGAACTGTTTGTCAGGTTTTAACATTTTATACATAAAACAATTCCAGAATTTCAGAATGTGTTTTTCCATAGCATAGACTTTTCTTAATTGACAATGACCCTGACACACAACAAGTCCTACAAAGAAAGTTGTGGACCAAAATTTTAGGTAAATTAGACTTTATTAAAGTTTGATTTTTAAAAAAGCCTGTTCCAAAAAACCAAACACTGCATGTTCTCACTCATAGGTGGGAATTGAACAATGAGAACACTTGCACACAGAAAGGGGAACATCACACATCAGGGCCTGTAGAGGGGCGGGGTGGGGGAAGGGATAGCATTAGGAGATATACCTAATGTAAATGACAAGTTAATGGCTGCTGCACACCAACATGGCACATGCATACATATGAAACAAACCTGCATGTTGTGCACATGTACCCTAGAACTTAAAGTATTTAAAAAAACAAAAAACAAAACACAAAACAAAAAATTAGCCAGGCGTGGTGGCGCACACCTGTAATCCCAGCTACTCGGGAGACTGAGGCAGGAGAATCATTTGAACTCGGGAGGCAGAGGTTGCAGTGAGCCAAGATTGCACCACTGCACTCCAGCCCGGGCAACAGTGCGAGACTCTATCTCAAAAAAAAAAAAAAGAAATAAAGAAAGAAAGAGAACATACATTACTATTCATTAGGTGGAAGTAGAGCATCAAAGGTCTTCATCCTTGTCATCTTCTTGTTGAGTAGGCTGAGGAGGATGATGATGAGGAGGAGAGCTTAAACTTGCTTTCTCAGAGGTGGCAGAGGCAGAAGAAAATCTACATATAAGTGGACTTGCACAGTTGAAACCTGTTTTGTTCAAGGATCAACTGTATTTATTTATTTTTTTTGGTAACTATTATAAATGGGATTGTTTCATTGATTTTTTTTTAGATAGCTTGTTGTTAGTGTATATAGTGTATAAAAAACTACTGTTTTTTTGAGAAAAAAAAAAAAGCCTGTTCCACTGGGCATGGTGGCTCACATCTGCAATCCCATCACTTTGGGAGGCCAAGATAGGTAGATCACTTGAAGTCAGGAGTTTGAGACCAGCCTGCTCAACATGGCAAAACCCTGTCTCTACTAAAAACACAGAAATTAGCTGGGCATGGTTGCATGTGCCTGTAGCTCCAGCTACTCGGGAGTCTGAGGCAGGAGAATTGCTTGAACCCGGGAGGCACAAGCTGCAGTAAGCTGAGACCACATCACTGCACTCCAGCCTGGGTGACAGAGTGAGACTCTGTCTGAAAAAAAAAAAAAAAAAAAAGACTTTTCCCCACCTTTTTCCCCTTCACTTTCAAATGAGTTTCTATTTTTTTTAACCTCTCTATTATTTTATTTTATTGTTTTCTAAAATACAGGAATATTGTTTTACAAAAGATTCAAACAATGCACACATTAGCAAATAAAGTAAATGGTGAAAGTCCCCTTGGTTCCAAAGCTATCTCTTTCATTCTCACTTCCTTCCAGAAGGACATCACTCTTAACAGTTTGATGTGTACTCTTTCAGGATTTTGCCCATGCATTTACAGATATATGTACATAAATGAAAACAGATACAAAGCTTTATTTATTTATTTGAGACAGAGTCTGGCTCTGTTGCCTAGTCTGGAGTACAGTAGCAAGATCATGGCTTACTGCAGCAAGTAAATGAGGGAGAAATGCCAGAATTACATTTACATTTTAGCCAGAACTGGCTGAACTGTGCTAGAAAAACAAAATCTCCAAGTAATCTTGAATTAGTAATATTATAAACAGTGAGTCTTATCTCAACACCAGTAGCCTAATAATAGTAGATTCCAAGCAGGCAGAAAAGAAAAGAGAGAAATAGAGAGATTTAGAAGACTCTATTTAATTTTAGAGTTGCAGGACAAAAATAGCCACCAGAATGCCAACAGGCTGAAACTTCAGACAAGGAAATGGGACTCTGGGTTTCCAAGCTGGCCAAATGGATCAAGATTCATGCACATTTTAAAATGGGGTGTAAAAGCATCTGAGCCCTCCAATCGTTAAGATATAACAAGACCAAATCTTGCAAGTCCCCAGGTTTCCCGTGCTATCCTGCCACATGACAAAGAAAAGCAACTGAAAAGGCAATAGTCAGAAAGCGAGCATTGAAAGTTAATGTAGTAAACCTCCATGCTAGCCATAAGGACCATAGTAAGGCTTCAGTAAAGCAAAGGCAACAAACTGGAAAATGACAAGAACTATAGCTTTCCCATATCCAGCAAAGGAGACAGGGTGGATTAACCCAAAGCATATACTGGAAATCATCTTCCAAAGCTGCTTCTATTTTTATTAAACACAAGGGACTCTACCCTTGTTGGGCCAGGACTCTAACCTGAATCTCCTACCCCAGGGACTCTAATACCATGGCCTGGAACTCTAACTCAAATCTTAGGCAGGCATCTTTGCCCTGTAATATACCCAAGGGACTCTAACCCTATTGGGCCGTGACTCTATCCCAAATATTATACCCCAGGGACTCTTACCCTGTTGGGCCAGAACTCTAACCCAAATCTCTTATCCCAGGAATTCCACTGGGCCTTGGTAATATTAATCTTGATAGGATGCTAGGGTAGACCCCAGTTACTAGTGAATTGGTGCCGCCTAGACTGGATTTCCTTGGCATAGGGTCTCATTCTAAGGTACCTTTGTCGTGGTCACCAGAAGATCAGAAGAGGAATCTGATCCAGACCCCAAAAAAGGGTTCCTGGATCTCAGGTAGGAAAGAACTCAAGGTAAGTCACCAAGTATAGTGAGAAGAGATAGTTTATTGAAACCTACTTCATTACAGAGTATGGCGTCCCCAGAAGAAAACGGAGCAATACATCATCTTTTTTTTTTTTTAAGTTTTTCTTATATAGGGGTCTTGTCTATGTAAAGATTAAACTAAGCTGTGCCTACGTGCAGGTGGGCTGACAGCATGACAAAATGTATTATTTTACTTATTTAAAGAAAGCTATCCTTGACATTTTAGTGTGTAAGTACATCAAAGCATAACTATAATTATCTTGAAAGCGTATATTGTTATGGGTAATGGGACATCTGGACTTTCTGTTGTTGTGGGAGTGTGTCCTTGTAGGCATTACCAAACTTGTTCCCTAGCTGCAAACATCTTACAACTAGAGGTCATGACTGACAAGGAATGTGCCTTGCTAGTTTTAAGATGGAGTCGATCTCAAATTGGTGTCACTCTGGCTGTCCTAGGGTCCTGCTTCCCTAACAAATGTATTCTTTATTTCCCTGAAAGGAGTGCCCTCTAGGCCACATAGGAAACCAGAGTAACCTAATAAGGTTCTGTTTTTGTTTTTGTTTTTGTTTTTAATAAATACTCCTTTCTGATCATCTCTCTGATCTTTTTTGATATTCTTTTTAAAACACTGCCAAAATAATTCTGGCATTTCTCCCTCATTTACTGTAGATCGTCATTACTCCCACGTTTCAAGGAACCATCCCAGCAGTATATTCAGCTAGCTCCTGATGCCCTTGCTGAGATGACAGGATTTAACTCATGGAGAAATATCCCATAAAATAATACTCTCCATAACACAGCATTACATGCTGCTGTTCTGTTCTCTGCATTTTTCTCTTCCTCCTGTACAATAGCTTTATGTTCTAAATATCAGTGGTCACTCCCATATTCCTGGTTCCTACAGAAGTGTAATAGTCAGATGTAAAACTCATTTTTTAATGAAGATTTTAATTTATAGCAGAGACATTTCTTTCCATTCGGATTTTATTTAACCCTGATAGTTACTGGCTTAGAAACAAAAGAGCGAGTGATTGAAGACTATGATGTGAGCAAACATTAAGTAGCTAACAATAATCCTCTGTTGAAAATTATGTGTGCTTTCTAGGTGGCTCTACCCCAAGAGGTAGGAGCCTGATTGCTTTCAGCAAATAAATGTCAGGTAAATCCGTGGAGTCGTTGTTCTCAATACCGCCAACCAAATTTCCCTATCCCAAATCTGAGGGTCTCATTCTTTCCCTATGAGGGTCCTGAATTTAGAGCAGGAGCATTGCCTGGGCTGTGAAATTGATCTCAGTGATAACATTTGGATCTTGAACCTGACTTTGAGGACAAGCTGTGCTACATCTGCAGAAGAATAGGATCTACTTTATAGGATGCTTTTTCATGGTTTCCAGGCAATAGAGAGCTGCTCCTGTCTACAGGTTTAGCCCTTCGGGCTTTTACGGTGTCTTGAATTGTTAGTTGATTGCCCTGTGCCATAATATTTATAATTTCCATTTCCTTCAGATCTTTTATATTCTTGAGACATAATAAGCAAATACTTTCCCTTCTTCTTATATGGTATCATAGTCTATCCAGTGAGAATTCCAGAAACTAACGATGCCTTGGTATACCAGGGGTTATTTTAAGACTGCTAACCAGTAATGGAATTCTGTTTTTTTTTGTTTGTTTGTTTTTTTGTGTTTTTTTGAGATGGAATCTCATCCCGTCACCTAGGCTGGAGTGCAGTGGCGTGATCTTGGCTCACTGCAACCTCCGCCTCCCAAGTTCAAGCAATTCTCCTTTCTCAGCCTCCCAAGTAGCTGGGATTACAGGCACACACTGCCACGCCTGGCTAATTTTTCTGTTTTTAGTAGAGACGGGGTTTCACTTTGTTGGTCAGGCTGGTCTCGAACTCCTGACCTCAGGCAATCCACCCGCCTCACCCTCCCAAAGTGCTGGGATTACAGGCATGAGCTACCGCGCCCAGCCTGACCAGTAATGGAATTCTTACTGCTATCTGATGAAATTTCTGAATCCCTTGTCAAGATTCTGCTTTGTAAGGTCACTTATAGTAGTAATGCACTAGTTTGAGTTTATTAAAAGCAGACTATAAGTCAAAGGTTACATTGCAAGTGGTTTATGTTGAGGTTTATTCCAAGTAATACCAGGAGAAAGTGGGGAGTGAGAGAGAAAATGGTAGAAAATTAATATTGGTAATTTTATTATAGGGTTCTCATGGTTAACACTGAAGCACCTGCCTTTCGAGACTTTCTGAAATACTGTGTTAAAATACTGTGCTCATAGAAACCCGGTAAAGAGGGAGTATTTATTCATCATCCCCCATTCCAAACTGATTGAGGGTCAATTCTAGGGTCAATCTCTCTGGTACTTTAACTGTCATTAAGAACATTTACCAGCTGGGCACGGTGGCTCACACCTGTAATACCAGCACTTTGGGAGGCTGAGGCGGGAGGATCACAAGGTCAGGAGATCGAGACCATCCTGGCTAACACGGTGAAACCCCGTCTGTACTAAAAATACAAAAATAAAATCAGCTGGGCCTGGTGGCAGGCGCCCGTAGTCCCAGCTACTCGGGAGGCTGAGGCAGGGGAATAGTGTGAACCTGGGGCACAGAGCTTGCAGTGAGCCCAGATTGTGCCACTGTACTCCAGCCTGGGCAGTAGAGCAAGACTCCGCCAAAAAAAAAAAAAAAAAAAGAATATTTACCTCCAAAAGCAGCTGAATATTTAATAAGGCATGTTTTCAGCTGCACATAGAGCCTCACGTGTGTAATACTAACACTTTGCAGGGCAAAGGCAGGAGGATCACTTGAGTACAGAAATTCAAGACCAGACTGGGCAACATAGTGAGACCCCATTTCTACAAAAAGTTTAAAAAAAGATTGGCATGGTGGTGCCCACCTGTAGTTTCAGCTGCTTGAGAGGCTGAGACAGGAGGATTACTGGACACCGGAGTTGGAGGCTGCAGTGGACTATGATTGCATCACTACACTCTGTCTCTAAAAATATAATT